>NT_167247.2:1721114-1810184 GCF_000001405.40 Homo sapiens | reverse complement strand
GGCCAGGACAGAACCACGTGTGTGTTTAGGAAAAGTGGCCTTCTGTTCTCCATCCCTAGGGGCTCACGGGATACCCTTAGAACAGACTGGCCACAGGAATTCCCAGTTAAGGCAGAAGGTTGACATGAGATCAGTGTTTCAGGATTAAGTTCTCACGAAGGGCAGAAAACTGGGAAGCCCATACTTTTCCACGTTAATCAATTGGTTCCATAAACATCATTCCATTTATGTTTTTGTGTTTTTTATTAATAATTCCTTTGAGCTTCACTGGGAGAGATGAGTATGACTGTGGAGCTCAGTTCTGTAAAGCATGGGGTGGCTAAGAAAGGGAAGTAACTGGCCCCAGAATCCCACAGTCACCCAGTGACCTTCAGCCCAAGAATCTGATGGCCACTGCTGCACTCCAAGGGAAAGGAGGCCATCCGGAGAGAAGAGAATTACAAGAATAAGAGTGCAGAGAGTGTCCCACAGTCCTGAGATTCGTACAGAAGCACAGGAGGAAGCAAGTGTCCAAGTATCCAGAGTCCTGTGAAGTAGGGATTTCAGTCCTCAAAGCTACCCTCTCCCATCTGCCAAGTCTTCTGTGGACGTGCGTGGCTGTGTTTCCCTTCCCATTCCCTTTGGGCAGTGTGCTATAGGTTTCCATGTGAGGGCCAGTACTCCTTGCCTCTCATCTCCCTCTCCATTTTGCCGCAAATGCAAGGGACCCCATACTCGCCCTTGCCCCACCTCTTGCCTCTCCTGGGGACATTCTTCCTGCTCAGTAGTGGGCCTTGTGAGGACCTGCAGGACAGCCTGAGTGGGAGCTACCCCAAGGGCCCAAGGAGTTCCAGGAACCCCATCTGCACTCACTCACCTCCCCATCAAGCGCCCCTGCATTCTTCCTGCACTGCACTCCAGGTGTTGACAGCTCCTGGGCAGGGTAGCAGGTTCCAGGGAGCCCAGGCTGAATGGAGCTTGGGAGCTGAGGTCCTCTGCTGGGGATTCACTGTTCCAAGAGGACAGGATTCTGCCTTTATGGGGGAAGGGCTGGATAGGAACCAGGAGACCAGTTATAGGCCCGTTGCTATCAATCCTGGGACCAGTTAATTGATCTGTGTTCAGTACAGGATAGCAAAAATGGACTTGACCTTTTCTCTGTGTAACTTTTTTCAGAAACCATCACGTCCAGCCTTCCTTCCCTGGGCACAGAGGAGACCTGCCTCAGGCGAAGTTCTTCTGTGGAATTAAAAAGTCTCTTGGGCTCAGCTCTCCCCAGGGGCCTTCAGAACTCACCAAGGATAGAGCTGCAGACCTCTGGTGGTCAAATAGGGACTAAAACCGATTACACCTACAAGTCAATTGCAAATCAGTCTTTCTTTCTGTTGCACCTGTGCCCCTCACTTAGTCACCTGTCTTAGATGGAAGCTTCGGGCCCCTCCTGGGCCCCAACCCTGCGGTCCCCAGGTTCCCGGTTTTTCACGTCTAATCTCAATTGGCCCCTTCCCCACACACCGTGTTTGAACACCCAGTTCACAGAACGCCCCGGGCTTCCTAGTGGGCCAGGTCCTCCTTAGAGAGGCAAGAAGGTGGAGAGGGAGCGTGGACGCCGAGCGCCCGCTGGGCAAACCCGAATCTGGGGCCTGACCTAGCCGGTAGCCGGTGACGGGGCCGGTGGTGGCTTGGAGACTCCTCTCTGGTCCTCTGCTCTTGGCCCCAGCCCCGCGCTCACAGCCACCTCCTGAAGCCGCCAGTGCTGCGTCCTCTTGGCCACGTAGGGGAAGAGCGGACTGGACGGAAGCAGCGGACTCTGGGCGCTGTCAAGGTCACTGTTGTGAAAAGCCGGGAGACCAGATGTGGACACAGGGAGGCCTGGACCCGAGGCGCGGCTGGCCAGAGGCCTCGTGTCTGCCCCTCTTCACAGCTTCCAGGGAAGCTCCCCGCGTATCCTCAAAGCAGAGAGCGGTTTCCAAACGGACCCCCACAGCGCCCGATTGGGCCATCCCGCCCCAGGCTGGAGGGTGGGTGCTCATGGGGTCGCCAGTCACCAAGGGCCCCATCTGAGCGCACCCGGTCCCTCCTCCAGGCTCGCCTGGGCCTCGAGGGCGGCGAACAGCTCGGCTTTGAAGAAGGCTCCGGCCGGCGCTGCCCAAGTCGGGCAGCCTTCCTGGCCCACCCGGGAGTTGAGTTTCAAGGCTTCCCGGAGAGGCCAGCCCAGATTCGCAGCGGAGAGTTTCTCAGGCCACAAACCTCGGAGAGAAGCAGCCGTGGTTCCCTGTGCCCTGGGCCACCGCTGGGCGGGGCAGGAAGCCTCCCTGGCGTTTCCTCGCGGGCGCGACTACGAGCCGCGGAAACCAGTGGCCGCTCCACACTATTTAAGCTGAGGTTCCTCTGCCATGGCTGCGGTTTGCGGTTTCAGCTTAGTGTACCACTTAGTACTAATATTATTACTTAGTGAACTTAGTGCACTTAGTGCTCTAAGTTTACCAAGTTTACCATTTATTGTACTTAGTGTACTTAGTGCTCTAAGTTTACCAAGTTTACCACTTAGTGTACCTAGTCTACTTAATCAACACTTAGTGTATTTAGTGTTTCAGCTTAGTGTAGAGAGGCTTCTTTCTTCCTTTTCTGGAGGAGTCAGTGGTTAGAGACGATTTCCGTGGTTAGAGCGTACTTGGTCTTTAGAAGACGACTTTGGTGTCCATTGCCAACCCCATCAGAGATCGCAGGCCTTTTCCCCTCAGTCCCAGCTCATCAGCAAAGGTCTGGGTGGCTGTCTCCAGAGGAGACTGAACGAGGTTGTCAAAGCGGCTGGATCAAAAGTGTTGCCATGTCGGATGGAGTGGTGTCCACGATGAACCTGAGCATGGTACCAGCATCTGGGGGTGTGGAATTGGGAGGGAAAGCTGGGGCCCCACAGTGTGAGGAAGGAGGAGCATGGTCAAACCAGACTGGGCAGAGTCCTCGGTATTTAGGAATCTCTAAATACTAAATACTAAATCTCTAAATACTAAATACTGAGCTGGGATGGAATCTCTGTGCTGGAGGCTAGTGGTGCAAACATTTTTTCCGCATGAGGTTCAGAAAGGTTAGGCGGCGGTTTCTCATCTGCAGGCACAGGTGACTGACTGCCTTCAGCATGGGCCCATCTGTCCATCTCTCCTCCTGACCCTGGTCTCATTACAGGAGAGGGAACTGGGTGCTAGAGGGTGGGGAATCCAGGATGTCAGAGGTGTCACACCTGGATAAAGCGTTTTGAAAACACAAGTCCCAGGGCTGATTATTGATTTTACCACATGCAGCCTGTTTTTATTTATGAAGTTTCTTTTCTTTTCCCTTAACTTCCAATGATACACTATAATGTACATCAATGTCCTTAAAATGTATGTAGTCCTCTTCATCTAGTGACTATACTGATCCTCAAGTATCCATTCTCTAGTCAAGGGTTATACCTGTTTCTCCTACCCCACGGCAGTGCTGGGTCTGGTGTACCCCTCCCGCAGTATCGCCTCCCCCTAAATAAGCACGTTTCCCTATAATTTCTTACTTTTTCTCTATGCCTTCCCATCATGTTTGCACTCACTGTGAAGTAAGGAAACGCTTCCTAATTCTGTTATTCCTTCCTACTCTTAGGAGATTTCTCCCTCTGCGCTGAGGATCTCACTGTGCACCTCCAGCCCTGGGTCCTGGTGGGCTCTGGTGGCCACTGGAGTCTTTGGAACTGCCTCCCTCTGGCTCTGCTGGGTGAGTGCTCTTCTGTCTTCTGTTTCTCCACTGATAAAAACAAATCCGAGAACATGTTCACAATAACACTTCCAGAAAGGATGGTGTGGAAGGGGATAAGGAGTAGGGGAAGGAACTCCACTCCCTTGGATGAATTTAGAGACAATTTGCTACATTAATCTCTGGCCAGGAGCCAAGACAGAGTCTAGAGTAAGCCAGGCTGCTCAGGTCAAATATCTGAAGGCCTCCTCTTCTCCCTCCTCACATTTCAGTAGACTCAGTGCCAAGGGCTTGTCCTGGGGACAGGTGGCCTCAGCCACAGTAAATCCCTGAGATCCTGGACCACTGCGTGGAACCCTGTTCTCTGCATGAGGCAGGCTCCAGGTGCTACCTGCTTCCCTTTCATTTCCCCTGTTACAAAACATGGTCTCCCCTCTACTCTCTCTCAATCCTTCCTAGCCACCAGCTTCCTGGCAAGCAACCACATGGAAGCCTTTTACTTCATATTTTGTTCTTTATCTTTATGTCTCTTGATAATATACATTTATGCCACTTCAAATGTTTCCATTTTAGATATTATGTATTGACTTTTCAATATCCCTTCTGTCCATAGTACCTTCCCCAGCACACACATTTTCATCCTCCTCGTGTAGGCAGGTGGAGATTTTGAGTGCATTGAGAGCCAGAGTTAAAATTACTGACTTACGTGAATGCTACTCAGACCTGAGCCACATGGTAAACTCTCTTAGTTTTTCTTTCCACACATGCTGAAGTTTTCAAGATTTGATCATTGCCTAGTATTTTCATTTTCTTACTTTCCGTGAACCTTAAATGAATTCACCAACTGTCCCTTAGTTGAGTAAATGTCTTCTCCATACCTTTAAACTTATGTTGGCTGTTGTCAAGGTCATCTTCTTGGAGATGGCTTCCCCTCTGCTGTCCACCCACCCAGGTGACCCTCTTCCTTTCTGGTCCTGTTGCCCTTTCACCTTTTCATGGGTTGATGCCTGATTTCATACATCCCATATCTTGGTATTTTTTTTGTTCTTGTTGTTGGTTGATGTTGTTGTTGTTGTTATTTTTTGTATATTCCTTCCTCCTCTGTTTGGTATGTTCCCTCCTTCAGTTTTGTTATCCTTCAACTTTGCTATCAGGAGAAAATTTTTCATGACTTGCAATATCTGAATTTCACCCTATTTTACAGGGTTGGATTCGGGCATCGATGTCACACCCAGCAGGAACAACTGGGGCCACTGGAGGATTCCCAAGGACACAGGTTGTCCTTTTCATGCAGGAAGAATCTGAATCGTTTCCATCCAGTTTCCCCGGCATGCAGCAGAATACAACACAAGGGGCTGCGGTCTTCTCTGACTCTTAAGGCCCTTGGAAGATCCTGTTCTGCCAAAATCAGGGTGATTTGGGCAAGCATCCTTAGGGCTCTGGACCTTAGTTTCTTTCCCTGGTTGATTGATTGACCATATAGGTGTCCTAACTCACATAGTTGAAAATCAGATGTGGTGAAAGTGCATTGAGACCAGAAACAATGTTATTGTCCTGAAATGCATGCCCAGAGAGCACTGAATAAATTTTTAAAACACCTGACCACAGCTGGCATTTCTGTTCTTTTCTAAACTATGGGACTGATCAAAAGAGAGAGGTTAGGTGGGGTGAGTGTGGGTCCTGGCCAGGAGAATGAAGGAGGGAGGGAGGGAAAGGCTGTGAGAAGAAGTGGAAAGCAGGGTACAAAGGATGCAGGATGGTGTCACTGCAGGGAAGGGCCTGGGATTCCTAGTAAGTATGGAGGAGAGGTGGCACCTGAGATTACCTTTGGAAGCCCAGATGTAGCTGATCCTACAACTTGCTTCTCCTCCTGCCTGGACGTCTACACCAATGTGACTAGACACACAGTAGAAAAGAACTGGCACCTGATTCTCAGACTGGTACCATCTTCTACCCTCGAGTGTTTGTTTCATTCCTTTCCTCCCTGTTTCCCCACCCCAACCACCAAACTCATTGCTCCATTCTTCCAATATAACTCTATATCAGGGCACCACTGAGTTCAACGCAATGTGTCACAATCGCTGTGTTCTCCCTCTCCCAAGTGCATGATTCTCCACACTGCAGGGCTGCTGCTGGAGGATGGGGCTGGGGCGGCATTGGCAATTCGGGACAACATCCTACCCTTCTCAGTGTTTCTTTCAGTTATATGAAGTTAAAAACCAGGTTTTGTGAATGCTCACATAACTTTTGTTTCTAGTGAAGGTGATTTTGTCTTTTTTTAAATGTAGATAGTTGTTAGATTGGTATCTTTGTTGCAGGGGGACGGTTAGTGAAGTCTTCTATCTAGCCATCTTGCTCCACCCCTCTCCCTAAAAAATTTTTAAATTTCTTTCCTAATGTCTTCATTGACCCACCAGGCATTCAGGAGCATATTGTTTAATTTCTATGTGTTTGTATAGTTTCCAAAATTCCTCTTGTTATTAATTTCCAGTTCTATTCCATTGTTGTCAGAGAAGATGTTTGATATTATTTCAATTTTTTGAATGTTCTAAGACTTGTTTTGTGACCAAATATTTGGCCTGTCTTTGAGAATGATCCATGTCCTGAGAAGAAATATGTGTATTCTGCAGCTCTTGGATGAAATATGCTGTAAATATCTATTAGATCCATTTAATGTATAGTGCAGATCAAGTCCAATGTTTCTTTGGTGCTTTTCTGTCTAAACGATCTGTCCTATGCTGAAACGGGGGCTGCTGAAGTCTCTGGCTATGATTGTACTGAGATCTATCTTTCTCTTTAGCTCTAATAATAATTGCTTTATACAGCTGGGTGCTCCAGTGTTGGGGTATGTATATTTATAGTTGTTATAGCATCTTACTGAATTGACCCCTTTATCATTATATAGTGACCCTCTTTGTCTCTTCTTATAGTTTTTATCTTAAAATCTATTTTGTCTGATATAGGTATAGCTACTCCTGCACTTTTTTGATTTCCATTGGCATGACCAATCTTTTTCCATCCCTTTATTTTCAGTCTATGTGTGTGTTTATAGGTGAGTGTGTTTCTTGTAGGCAACAGATCATTGGGTCCTTTTTTTTTTTTTTTTTTTATTCATTCCACCACTCCATTTCTTTTGATTGGAGAGTTTAGACCATTTACATTCAGTGTTATTATTGATAAAGAAGGACATTTTCTTATTTGTTTTCTCGTTGTTTTGCTTGTTTTCTCTTCCTTCTTTCCTTCCTTTATGTCTTCCTTTTAGTGAAGGTGATTCTCTGGTGATATGATTTAATTTCCTGTTGTTTATTTTTTGTATATCTGTTGCATTTTTTATGATTTGAGATCACCAGGCTGCTTGCAGATATCTTATAACCATTATTTTAATCTGATAAAAACTTAACACTGCTTGTATAAACAAAAACCGAAAGATATGTAATAAGAATTCACACTTTAACTCCATCCTCTTTCTTTTTAACTTTTTGTTGTTTCTATTTATATCTTCTTATACCATCTATGTCTTTTTTTAGATGAGGATCTCACTCTGTCACCCAGCCTGGAGTGCAGTGTCACAATCTCAGCTCACTGCAACCTCTGCCTCCGAAGCACAAGCAATCCTTTCACCTCAGCCTCCTAAGTAGGTGGTACCACAGACACGTGCCACCATAACCAGCTAATTTTTTCCATTTTTTAAAAGAGACTGGGTTTTGCCATGTTGCCCAGGCTAGTCTGAAACTCCTGAGTTCAAATGATCTGTTCACTTCAGCCTCTCAATGTCCTGGGATTACAGGCATGAGCCACTGCAGCTGGCCTTGTACCGTCTATGTGTTGAAAAGTCTTGTAGTTATTATTTTTTATTGGTTCACCTTTTATGCTTTCTACTTAAGACACGAGTAGTTTACACACCACAAATACAGCATTATAATATTCTGTGTTTTTCTGTGGCACTTGGTTCTTGACTGAAGAAATTACAAAGTGCCAATCTGGGTCTAAATGTAATCCATTTTCTGAAGTTAAGTGTCCCAAATATTTCTTCTGAGTTTTCACTAGCTGCAATTTTTCGTCAGAGACTTCATGGTCTTTAGCAGTCAGTTGCTTTAACAGTTGTACACCATTTTTTTCATAGGCTATCTGTGAAGCAGAGCAAAGAAGGCGGCCATCTATATATTGTAGTAAGGTGGAACCTTAAGGAGAAACTATCTCCTCCAAGTGTTCCTTTAATATTTGAAAAACACAGGAAGGGTTTTCAGTAAAAGCAAGAGGCATTACTGTCCAGGTGAATTGTTGGCCTTCCAAGGTAAAGGCAAAAAGATACTGGCTGGCCTGATCCACTGGATTACTGAAGAATGCACTTCATAGATCAATGACAGTGAAAAACCTCCTATCAATAGGTTGTGAGTTTAATGAGATATAGGGATTTGGAACCACTGATGTCTTGGAATCACTATATAGTTTATTGCTCAGAATTCCTGAGCAAACCTTTAATCCCAGTTGTTTGGTTTTTAATAGGTATAATTAGGGTGTTAGAAGGATGAGTACATGGAATAATGAGGCCTTGCTTTTTATGTCCTTCTGTAATAGGTTTAATGACTTATAACACCATCTGGTTTAAGTGGATATTGTTTGATATTAGGCAGGGGTTTTGATGGATCAAGCTGGATTTTTATAGGAGGTATATTATAAAGTTTGCCAATATCAACAGTTTTGCCTATACAGAGACAGGTATTAGATTCAGCAGTGAAAGGGTGTGATGTAGTTTGTATATTTGTCCCCACCCCAATTTCATGTTGAATTGTAATCCCCAGTGTTGGAGGTGGGTCTTGGTGGGAGGTGATTGGATCATGGGGGCACATTTCTCAGGAATGGTTTAGCACCGTCCCCTTGGTGCTGTCTTTGAAATAGTGAGAGCTGGTTGTTTAAAAGTGTGTGGCGTCCTTCCCCTCCCACTCTCTCTCTCGTTCCTGCTTTCGCTATGTGACGTGCCTGCTCCCCTATTGCCTTCTGCCATGATGGTAAGCTTCCTGCGACCTCATCAGAAGCTGATCAGATGCCCAGCACCGTGCTTCCCATAAAGCCTGCAGAACTGTGAGCCAATTAAACTCATTTTTCTTTATAAATTACCCAGTCTCATGTATTCTTTATAGCAATGCAAGAACAGCCTAACACAAGATAGCATTATTTTTGTTTTGTCAGTGGGAATGACATAACAAGTGGGGACATTTGGAGAGTCAGGGATTCCTGAGGTCAGGAATTCAAGACCAGCCTGGCCAACATGGTGAAACCTCGTCTCTACTAAAAATACAAAAAATTAGCTGGGCATGGTGGTGGGCACCTGTAATCCCAGCTACTCGGGAGGCTGAGGCAGGATAATTGCTTGAACCCAGGAGGTGGAGGTTTCAGTGAGTCGAGACTGCACCACTGCACTCCAGCCTGGTGACAGAGTGAGACTTCATCTCAAAAAGAAAAAATTTTAAAAAAAGTTTTTAAGCAGTTTTCTTAGTAGGGTCCTCAAGGGGACAGGCAGGTGATTTATCAAATGGACAAGATCAGAAGTGCACATAGTTTCCCTAAATTGCTGGCTCTTTTACCAAGTTCAGCATGTTTTGAAGAAAAGCTATTCACAAACTTGGAATTAAAGTCTACTCAAGTAGATTTAACATCCATAGGTAATGCAGAAATTTCTTTCTTTTTTCTTTTCTTTTCTTTTCTTTTTTTTTTTTTTTAAGATGGATTCTCACTCTGTCGGCAGGCTGTAGTGCAGTGGCTGGATCTGGGCTCACTGCAAGCTCCGCCTCCCGGATTCACACCATTCTTCTGCCTCAGCCTCCCAGAGTAGCTGGGACTACAGGCACCTGCCACCATGCCCAGCTAATTTTTTGTGTTTTTAGTAGAGACGAGGTTTCACCGTGCAAGCCAGGATGGTCTTAATCTCCTGACCTCGTGATCTGCCCGCCTCGACTTCCCAAAGTGCTGGGATTACCGGCGTGAGCCACCGCGCCCAGCCTACTTTAGTTTTAAGAAAGACAAGTTTGGGGAACTCAAAAGACCCCAAGGATGGCCATTGAAGATCCAAATTAACTTTGCTATACTCTATCCATTGATTTTAAAAAGTACACAAGAGACGACCTTAATTTTTTTCTTTTCTTATTTATTTTTATTTTTTTTTGACATGAAGTTTCCCTCTTTTCTCCCACGCTGGAGTGCAATGGCATGATCTCGGCTCACTGCAACCTCTGCCTCCCGAGTTCAAGCTGTACTCCTGCCGCAGCCTCCCGAGTAGCTGGGATTACAGGTATGCGCAACCACATCTGGCTGAATTTGTATTTTTATTAGACACGGGGTTTCTCCATGTTGGTCAGGTTGGCCTCCAACTCCCAAATTCAGGCGATCCGCTTGCCTGGGCCTCCCAAAATGCTGGGATTACAGGCGTGAGGCACCACGACCGGCCTTAATTTTTTAAAATAGAGATGAACTCTTGCTATGTTGCCCAGGATGGTTTCAAACTCATGAGCTTAAGCAATCTTTCCACCTCGGCCTCCCAAGGTGCTGGGATTACAGGCATGAGCCACTGACAATAATTTTTGAACATATAGCTGACAGGAGTCCCAGAAGAGGGCCTATATTGGATGCTTTGGAGTTTTGGCATCCTGTTCTGCCTCTTATTAATTTCTCAACAGCAAAAGAAAAATTCTATAATCTCTGTGAGGAAATGGTAGGGGTTGGAGCGATTTGTTTTTTAATAGTGTGTGCCTAGCATAGGATTTTTGTTTTTACTTGATGTGCAGGCAGCCTGTGATCTAATTGTCTATCCTGTCACCATTTTCTCCAGAATTTTCTTGAGACTGGCACGCTGCCTAATGGAAATCTTGTTTATTCATGTACCACTTTATCCTGACAACAAAAAATTTCTCTTTGGGGAGACTGAAGGCTCACATAGAATGGTGACAACAGCCCAAACAGCTTTTAAGGAGTTGACTCATCCTTACCATTTTAGAAAGTAAATTTTGCTCTCAAAAGATATTCAGAAGCAGAGGAAAAATCAAGCAACAAACTCAGTATAAGTCTCTTCCAAAGATAATCTTTCTTCAGGATCATTTCTGACACTAGATTATTCAACCTAAAAAACATGACATTAGAAATGTCCAAATATGTTGAGTTTATTTGGGAATGAGAATGAGGATTGTAACCTAGGGTGCACTGATGGATTGCCATTCTGGAAATATTAGCTTAGCCAGATGTAGTGGGTTGAATGGTGGACCCCATAAAGATATGTTTCTGTCTTAGTGCCCAGCAGCTGTGAATGTCAAGTTGTTTGGAAAAAAAGGGTCTTTGCAGATGTAATTAAGCGGAGGATACTGAAATGAGGAGATCCTCCTAGATGACCCAGGTGGGCTCTAGATCCAATGACAAGTGTCTTTCTAACAGGTACACAGAAGAGAGAGTCAGAAGAGGAGAAGGTGATGTGAAGAATGAGGCAGAGACTAGAGCAATGGGGCTACAAGCCAAAGAACGCTGACCAATGCCCTGCAGCTGCCAGAGCTGGAGGACTCAAGGAATGGATTTGCTCTTAGAGCTTTCAGAGGGAGTGAGGCCCTGCATATTGATTTTGCAGTTTGGGCCTCCAGAACTGTGAAAGAATAATTTTCTGTTGTTGTAAGTTGCCAACTTTGAGGGCATTTGTTGTGGCAGCTACAGGAAGCTAATATACCAGGTGATCAACTTCAACATCAACAGTGGTACATGAAATTGATATTCTATAACCTTGATAAGGTGTTTGGAGAATAGCACTTCACCTCATCTAAACACCCATAACCATAGTCTAACCATGATCTACACCCCAACTAAATTCAGTTTGAGGGACATTTTACAATATATCTGGTCAGTACTTCCCAATATTGTGAAGGGCATCAAAAATTAGGAAAATCTCAGGAACTGTCACAGACCAGAGGATGCCGCGGAGGCACGACGGAGACTAAATGTAGTGTGATATTCTCCATGGAATCCTGAAACACAGAAAGGACATTAGGGGAACGCTAATGAACTCCAAATAAAGTCTGCAGTTTAGTAATAATAAGGTATGAAAATGGCTTCATTAGCTGTGACAAATGGACCATAGTAATGAGAGATGTTAACATCAGGGGAAACTGACTGTGGAGCGGATGGCAACTCTGTACTACCATTGCAACTTTTATGTAAATTTAAAACTCTTCTAAAATAAAATTATTTAAAAGTAGCAGTCAGGAAAGGATTAAGGAGTGGAAGAAAAAAATGATCAACTTTCCATTTTCCTGGAGTGTTGCCATGAAAAGGCTGGAGGGAGGGTTTGCAAGGAGGAGTTGGAAACCTCAGAGACAGGCCGCTCCAGAGCCCTCCTCTGTTCCGCAGAGCCGGAACCCCGCGCAGTCCAGGGCTTCTCAGAAGGCCTTTCCACTCCCTGGACAACCCCAGCCCCACCTCATTGATACATCCTTTCTGGATCAACAATCTGTGTCTTACTCAGACCACCGCCCCATCCTCTCCAGAGCGGCTCATCAGAATCCGAGCGCAGAGCGGCAGCGCCCCCGTGTGGCCCAAGGACTGAGGACAGACGCTCAGCTCCCCTTTCGCTTCCCCACCCGCGACTTCCACAGGGTCCCGTTCGGTTTCCAGCTGCAGAACAGGGCTCTGTGCACACGGGGGCGCCCTGCTCCCGTGTCGGTGTCTCTAAATCCTGGAGTACAGATGTTTCCTCCCAGTTACTGGCGGTGGAGTCTGATCTCAAGGCAGAGGGAGGTCTGCAGGCCCTAAGATCTGGTTCCCAGGTCTGCGTGACCCCACAGACATACTGTGCGCCCAGTACCCAATCTCTCAGTGTTTTTGGAATGAGGCCTTGGACTCCCGAGTCCCTGAAATTTGTTCTGCTGCTTCCAGGGAGGAAGATACCTCCTCGCCGGAATCCACTAGTTGATCCTCCAACCCTACTTTGGAGGGACCCAGGAAGGACATGGCGTTGGAGCTGGACCCAGGAAGAACATGGCGTCGGAGCTGTAACTATATTGGGTTACAAGGATGTCTGGGATCAGACTGGGCAGAGCATTTGTCCCCAATCCGTCGGTTACCGGAGGGAGGTCCCTCCGCGACTCCCCGGACCTCCAGGACCCAGGCATCGGAACCCACACCCTCCTGGAGCGGACCCTTCCCAGCCCCAGTCCAGGACCCCGAGTCCCGCCCCTTCTTCCCCTTTGCGACCTAAGCAGACAGGACCTGCTGTCTACATCTCTTAGGCCTCGTCCCCTGCCATCTCCATTCCCTGATTAAAGGTTCTTGATCCCGGAACCAAATCTAATTTCTGGTCTCGTCTATTGTCCGCGACGATCACCGACCAGGAGAGGCTCCCCAGCCCCAAACAGGCTGCGGCTGAGCGACAGCGGCGGATTTTGGCGCTTTGGCCCAGACTCTCTCGCCGAAGCACCCCGCGACCCCTGCCTGGAGGCTGCGCAGGCAGCTGGGGGTCGGGCTTCGTCTGGGGCCTCGCAGGAGGAGCGGGGTCTGCAGCAGGAGGGGGCCCGCTGGGATTTCTGCCACTGAGGCTGCACTCGCCGCCCTGGGTAAGGCTTCCCCCAGCCCTCCCCTGTGGACCTCGCTGTGGTTCCTTTCCTATTCCCTTTGGGCAGTGTGATATAGGTTTCCATGTGAGGGCCAGTACTCCTTGCCTGTCATCTCACTCTCCAGTTTGCTGCAAAGTGCAAGCGACCCCATACCCGCCTTTGCCCCACCCTTTGCCTCTCCTGGGGACATTCTTCCTGCTCAGTAGTGGGCCTTGTAAGGACCTGCAGGACAGTCTGAGAGGGAGCTACCCCAAAGGCCCAAGGAGTTCCCGGAGACCCTCTGCACTCACTCACCTCCCCACCAAGCGCCCCTGCATTCTTCCTGCACTGCGCTCCAGGTGTTGACAGCTCCTGGGCAGGGTAGCAGGTTCCAGGCAGCCCAGGCTGAGGTCCTCTGCTGGGGATTCACTGTTCCAAGAAGACAGGATTCTGACTTTATGGGGGAAGGGCTGGATAGGAACCAGGAGACCAGTTATAGGCCTGTTGCTATCAATCCTGGGACCAGTTAATTGATCTGTGTTCAGTACAGGATAGCAAAAATGGACTTGACCTTTTCTCATGTGAATATTTTCAGATACCCTCACTCCCAGCCTTCCTTCCCTGGGCACAGAAGAGACCTGCCTCAGGCGAAGTACCTCCGTGGAATTAAAAAGTCTCTTGGGCTCAGCTCTCCTCAGGGGCCTTCAGAACTCATCAAGGATAAAGCTGCAGACTTCTGGCGGTCACACAGGGACTAAAACCGATAAAATCCACAAGTCAACTGCGACTCAATCTTCCTTCCTCTTGCCTCAGTGTTCCTCACTTAGTCTTGGATGGAAGCTTCGGTCCTCTCCTGGGCCCCAACCTGCGGTCCCCAGGTTCCCCGTTTTTCACGTCTAATCTCAATTGACTCCCTCCTCCACACACCATTTTTGACCACCCAGTCCACAGAACGCCCCGGGCTTCCTAATGGGCCAGGTCCTCCTTAAGAGAGGCAGGGAGGTGGAGAGCGAGCATGGACGCCGAGCGCCTGCTGGGCAAACCCGAATCTGGGGTCTGACCTCGCCGCCGGCAGCTGGTGAATATGTCGCAGGACCGGTGGTGGCTTGGCAGTCTTCTCCTGTCCTCTGCTCTTGGCCCCAGACCCGCGCTCACAGCCACCTCCTGAAGCCACCAGCTCTGCACCCTCTCGGCCTCGCAGGGGAAGAGGGGACTGGATGGAAGCCGCGGACTCTGGGCGCTGTCAAGGTCACTGTTGTGAAAAGCCGGGAGACCTGATGTGGACACAGGGAGGCCTGGACCGGAGGCGCGGCTGGCCAGAGGCTTCGCGTCTGCCCCTCTTCCTTCAGAGCCTCCTGCTCCCAGGGAAGCTCCGCGCGTGTCCTCAAAGCAGAGAGTGGTTTCCAAACGGACCCCCCAGCATCCGATTGGGCTATCCCGCCCCAGGCTGGAGGGTGGGGGCTCATGGGGTCTCTAGTCACCAAGTGCCCCACCTGAGAGGACCCGGTCTCTCCTCCAGGCTGCGCTGGGTCTCGAGGGAGGCGAGCAGCTCGGCTCTGAGGGGGGCCCCGGCCGGCGCTGCCCAACTCGGACAACCTTCCTGGCCCACCCAGGAGTTGAGTTTCAAGGCTTCCCGGAGAGGCCAGCCCGCATTCGGAGCGGAAGGTTTCTCAGGCCGCGAGCCTCGGAGAGAAGCAGCGCTGGTTCCCTGAGCCCGGGGCCACCGCTGGGCGGGAGCGCGCTTGGATCTTGCAGCAGCTAAAGCCTCGTGGGCTCCTCCTCGACTACAAGCCGCGGAAAACAAGTTGCAGCTCAGCACTATTTAAGTTGAGGTTTTTCTGTTATGCCTGCGGTTTGCTGTTTCAGCGCTTTGCTGTTTCAGCTTAGTGAAAGCTGAATGTACTTAGTACTTCAGCTTAGTTTTTCAGCTTAGTGTACTTAGAGAAGAGGCTTCTTCCTCTTTTGGGGGAATCAGTGGGTAGAGAGGAATTCCGTGGTTAGAGCCTACTTGGTCTTTAAGAGTCGACTATAATTTTGATTTTGATCCTCAACCACATCCGAGATCACAGTTCCCCGGTCAGTCTCAGCTCATCAGCAAAGGGTTTGGCGGCTCTCTCCAGAGGAGACTGAACGAGGTTGTCAAAGCGTCTGGATCAAAAGTGTTCCCCTGTCGGATGGAGCGGTGTCCAGGATGAACCTGAGCATTGTACCAGCATTTGGGGGTGTGGAGTTGGGAGGGAAAGCCAAGGCCCCACAGTGTGAGGAAGGAGACTGGGCAGAGCCCCTAAGTGTTTAGGAATCTCTAAATACTAAATACTACATCTCTAAATACTAAATACTGAGCTGGGATGGAATCTCTGTGCTGGAGGCTAGTGGTGCAAACTGCAGTTTCTCATCTGCAGGCACAGATGACTGACTGCCTTCAGCATGGGCTCATCTGTCCATCTCTCCTCCTGACCCCGGTCTCATTACAGGAGAGGGAACTGGGTGCTAGAGGGTGGGGAATCCAGGACGTCAGCGGTGTCGCACCTGGATAAAGCATTTTGCAAACACAAGTCCCAGGGCTGACTATTGATTTTACCACATGCAGCCTGTTTTTATTTATTAATTTCCTTTCTTTTCCCTTAAATTCCAATGACAAAGTATAACGTAAATCAACGTCCTTAAAATGTATGTAATCCTCTTCATTTAGTAACTATTCTGACCTCAAGTATCCATTCTCTAGTCAAGGATTATACCTGTTTCTCCTAGCCCCCACCAGTGCTGGGTCTGTTGTACCCCTCCCGCAGTATTGCCTCCCCCTAAATAAGCACATTTCCCTATAATTTCTTCCTTTTTCTCTATGCCTTCCCATCATGTTTGCACTTGCTGTGAAGTAAGGAAATGCTCCCCAATTCTGTTATTCCTTCCTACCCTTAGGAGATTTCTCCCTCTGCGCTGAGGATCTCACTGTGCACCTCCAGCCCTGGGTCCTGGTGGGCTCTGGTGGCCACTGGAGTCCTTGGAGCTGCCTCCCTCTGGCTCTGCTGGGTGAGTGCTCTTCTATCCTCTCTTTCTCCACTGATAAAAACAAATCCGAGAACATGTTCAGAATAACACTTCCAGAAAGGATGGTGTTGAGGGGGATCGGGAGTAGGGGAAGGAACTCCACTCCCTTGGATGAATTTGGAGACAGTTTGTTGCATTAATCTCTGGACAGGAAACAAGAAGAGCCTAGAGTAAACCAGGCTGCTCAGGTAAAAGGTCCGAAGGCCTCCTCTTCTCCCTGCCCACATTTCAGTAGACTCAGTGCCAAGGGCTTGTCCTGGGGGCAGGTGGCCTCAGCCACAGTAAGTCCCTGAGATCCTGGACCACTGCGTGGAACCCTGTTCTCTACATGAGGCAGGCTCCAGGTGCTACCTGCTTCCCTTTCATTTCCCCTGTTACAAAACATGGTCTCCCCTCTACTCCCTCTCAATCCTTCCTAGCCACCAGCTTCCTGGCAAACAACCACATAGAAGCCTTTTACTTCATATGTTGTTCTTTATCTTTATGTCTCTTGATAATATACATTTATGCCACTTCAAACATTTCCATTTTAGATATTAAGTATTGACTTTTCAAAATCCCTTCAGTCCATAGTACCTTCCACAGCACACACATTTTCATCCTCCTCATGTAGGCAGGTGGAGATTTTGAGTGCATTGAGAGCCAGAGTTAAAATTACTGACTTACGTGAATGCTACTCAGACCTGAGCCACATGGTAAACTCTCTTAGTTTTTCTTTCCATACATGTTGATGTTTTCAGAGAATTGATAATTGCCCGGCGTTTTCATTTTCTTACTTTCCATGAACCTTAACAAATGAATTCACCAACTGTCCCTTAGTTGAGTAAATGTCTTCTCCATACCTTTAAACTTATGGTGGCTCTTGTCAAGGTCATCTTCTTGGAGATGGCGTCCCCTCTGCTGTGCTGTCCACCCACCCAGGCGACCCTCTTCCTTTCTGGTCCTGTTGCCTTTTCACCTTTTCACCTTTTCATGGGTTGATGCCTGATTCTATACATCCCACGTCTTGGTCTGTTTATTTTTGTTTTGTATTCTTTTCAATATATATTCCTTCCTTCTCTTCTTGGTATGTTCCCTCCTCTCCGAGTACATCCTTCACCTTTGCTATTGGGAGAAAATTTTTCATGCCTTGCAATGTCTGAATTTCTTCTTATTTTACAGGGTTGGATTCAGGAGTTGAGGTCATCCCCAGCAGGAGCAACTAGGGCCACTGGAGGATCCCCAAGGACACAGGTCACCCTTTTCATGCAGGAAGAATCTGAATGGTTCCCACCCAGTTTCCTGGGCAGGCAGGAGAATCCAACACGAGGGGCTGCTGTCTTCTCTGACTCTTAGGGCCCTTGCAAGATCCTGTTCTGGGTGATTTAGCTGAAGGGCAGGGTGATTTGGGCAAGCATCCTCAGGGCTCTGGGCCTCAGTTTCCTTCACTGGGTGATGGGTTGATCAGATAGATGGCCTTCCCCACATAGCTGAAAATCAGATGTGGTGAAAGTGCATTGAGACCGGAAACAATGTTATTGTTCTCAAATACATGCCCAGAGAGCACGAAATAAATTTTTATTCAGCTGGCATTTCTGTTCCTTTCTGAACTATGGGACTGATCAAAAGAGAGAGGTTAGGTGGGGTGAGTGTGGGTCCTGGCCAGGAGAATGGAGGAGGGAGGGAAAAGCTGTGAGAAGAAGTGGAAAGAGAGGTACAAAGAATGCAGGATGGTGTCACTTCAGGGAAGGGCCTGGGATTCCTAGTAAGTATGGAGGAGAGGTGGCACCTGGGATTACCTTTGGAAGCCCACATGTAGCTGATCCCACCGCTTGCTCCTCCTCCTGCCTGGAAGTCTATGCCAACGTGACTAGATGCACAGTAGAATGGAACTGGTGCTTGATTCTCAGACTGGCACCATCATCTACCCTCAAGAGTTTTTTTCATTCCCATCCTCCCTGTTTCCCCACCCCAACTGCCAAACCCATTGCTCCATTCTTCCCATATAACTCTACCAGGTACCCACCTCTTGGGTTCTAGTCATGTCCGAAGAAGTCTTTTATTAATTTATTTCTTGTAGAGATAGGGTCTTGCATTGTTGTCCAGGCTGGTCTTGAACTCCCGGCCTCACCTCAGCCTACCATAGTGCTAATATTATAGGTGTGAGCCACTGCTCCCAGTCTGTGTCTGACAATGTCTTGAGTGACTAAAAGGCATTTTCTTTCACTTTGTAGTCTTGGGCTTCCTTCAGTCTGCCTCTCTCCTCTTTTCCTGTGACCCCAGGCAGGCTTTGTCATTCCCTTCCTCCTCTGGGGTGCCCTCTGGGCTTCAGAGCAGCCCTGGTGAGAATCTGCAGGGCAACCTGCACACTAGCTGGCTGGGCTTCTGAGCCCCTCCACACTCACTCATATGCCTCTCCCACCTCCCTCCAGTGGTGAGATCGGGAATACAACTCACTGAGTCTCCAAGTCCAATGGATTTTCTATCCCAGGGATGAGCATGTCCTAGTCATCTTCTGTGAAGTAGAGGGAGGCTTCTGTTCCCTTCTGGGCTTCAATTCTGCACTTCCAGAGTTCCCCATTCTTCACGTTTAGTCACTCTACCTCCCTACACATATTTTTGGAATCAACCAACCAGGCTAGATGGACCAGCCAGTCCCCAACGTGAGAGCTGGCAGGGAAGTTCTTAAATAACGGTTTAGTTTTCCTATAGTGTGACAAAACTGGCTCCAAATGCCAAATGAAACCCCTTTAGTGCATGCCCCGTGTGCTCAGAAATTTGCCTTATACTCCTTCACTCACACAGAAAAGCAAAGACAAAAATAAAATAACAAAATTCAATTTCCACAACTAAATTTCCCATGTATTATTTTTCCCAACAGAGTTCATCAACAAGCCTGTGATACCTTAGGATATACTGTGTTCTGTAAATCTAAAACACCACCTTACATTTGTAAGGCTAACATTTACAGAGCACTTGGTATGTCCAAGGCTCTAGTCTAATATCCAAGTGAATATTATCTGATTTGTTCCTTGTGAGGATTAATTTGATTTCTCAACATGACTGGGTCACGAAGGAGCCCAGATATTTGGCCAAACATTATTCTAGGTATTCCCATGAGTGTGTTCGAAAAATGATTTACATTTAAATCAGTGGAATTGACTAATGTACATTGCCCTCCATAATGTGAGTGGGCCTCATCAGATCAACTGGAGATATATGTCGCCTATTCATTCTGCTTCTGTGGAGAGCCCTGATCAATACACTGTTCATAAGACCAGTGTTTTGGGGATTTATTAATTAATGGAGGCACACTGTGGTTACTTGCCTAGTAAGCTAGAAGAACACTAAAGAGGAAGTGTAAGAGCCGAAATTGCTTTTTAGTAGAACTCAGTTTGAAGTTTCCTTGCAGTGGTGAGTGTGGAGATGGGTTCAGCAGGGTGGTCTGCAGTGGGTTTGCCAAGGGTCTCTGGGATTCCACTGGAATTTCTCTCCACTGAAGGGAGAGGCTTAGCAGGTGCCTCCAGTGCTCTCCAGAGCAAATTGGGTCAGCTTCATTAAGAGTTCCTCTCTGAAGAAGGGAACTATGATCCTGACCCTGGAACAGGCCCTGGAGTCTGAGGCATGAGGGAGAAGCCTACATCTTGGAGAGGTGGACGAAGGAGGAGGGGAATCATAAAGATGGGGCTTTGCCTTCAGCCAGAAGCATTCTGCAATCTCAGGGATGAATCCAAAGATGGAAGAGGGGGTTTCTGGGAATAGGAACCTTTGTTCAGTACCTATTTTGGGGGGTGAGGTGGGGTCCCTCATGTTGTATCACAAGAAACAGATTCTATTTTATGACAGTATGATCTACCCATGGTCTTGTTCTTAAACTCTTGCAGATGCTGAGTCTCAATAGAGATGAGGAAACTGAGGGTCACAGAGCTAGTGCTTGGATGGATTTACAAATGTAGGAAGGAGGTTTGACTGATCTTGGTGTGACACCTCCTTCTTTCATTGTTTTTCTGGGAGGAGTCTGATCTCTTTTCTTTTTTTGTGAGATATAAAATATATGCAGAAAAGTTACTTACAAATGTACACAATATTTAACTAGCGACTATGACCACACAAGCACCACCTAGGTCAAGAAGCACAGTTGTCCAGTGTCCCACAAATGCCTTGCTTGCCCCCTCCCATCACACCTCTTCCCTTTCCTAGCTCCATGAGTGACTGCCTTTCTGACCTCTGTGCTAACATTCTTTCCTGGCTATGTGTTTGCAAACACTGTGA
Organism: Homo sapiens; assembly: GCF_000001405.40. Classification (NCBI taxonomy): domain Eukaryota; kingdom Metazoa; phylum Chordata; class Mammalia; order Primates; family Hominidae; genus Homo; species Homo sapiens. Next base: position 1,789,620 of record NT_167247.2, on the reverse strand, counting down.
TTAAAAGATTGCTTCTCAATTTTGGTCTTGTTTTCCTTCTTCAGGTTGTGTCTCCCTTGAGCAGAAACTGTCACTGCCCAAGGTGGGCTGCCGGTCTTGGTGGCTTCTAGTTCTTTTGGGAGTTTCCAGAACTGATTCTGTCTGGCTGTGACAGTGGGTTTTTTTTTTTTTTTTTTTTTTTCCTGCTCAGGTCTCTGCTCTGCTACGAACCTTTATATGCTGTATGCTGATTTCGGTGTGAACTTAAGTGTTCATTTCTCTGGGATAAATGCCCTAGAGTGCAATGGCATGTTTAGTTTTTTTTTTTTTCGCCATACTCTAGTTTCTAGAGTGGCTGTACCATTTTACATTCCCACCAGCAATGAGTGATTCAGCCATTTTCTCCACATCCAGCATGTGGTGTTATTTCTATTTCTTATTTTATTCATTCTGATAGGGGTGTAGTAATATCTCATAATGGTTTTAATTACATTTCCCCAATGATGAATCATATGGACCACATTTTTTTTTTTTTTTTTTTTTTTTTGAGATGGAGTCTCGCTCTGTGGCCCCGGCTGGAGTGCAGTGGCGCGATCTCGGCTCACTGCAAGCTCCGCATATGGACCACATTTTTGTGTCCTCACTTCCCATCTACATATCATTTTAAAAGAAATATTTGTCATGTGTTTTGTCCACTTTCCTATTTTATTGATTTTTTTAAACTGTTGAATTTTCAGTGTCTTTATATATTAAAAATGAAGGTTTTTTTTTTTTTTTTTTTTTTTTTTTTTTTTTTTTTTTTAGGATACGTGGGAAGGTAGTTTGAAACTTTTGAGGTCACCCAAATCTGCTTTTCTTTCTCTTTTTTGGGAACAGATTCTGGATTCAAGATCCCCTCCAACAGTGAAAGCCATTTTCGTGGGCCCTGGGCCCAGGATACTCCAACCTGGTCGCATACCCCTTGGGATTTCCCAGCAGCGGGCTGCAGAATATAACGTCCAGGAGTGGGGTGTCCTCTCTCTCCGGGCTCTTGGAAGACGCTGCTCCGCCTTTGATCACCTGGATTTTTAACTATTCGAATCTAGCTGAAGATCTGTGTAGCCTGGGCAAGCCTCTGCAGAACCCTGGGCTTCAGTTTCCTTCTCTGGGCACTGGGGTGATCACAGGGTCTCCCTGACCAAACCTACAAATGGAAAGTTCTCCCGGAAAGCTCTTTGTAACCACAGACGGTGATGCAATGTAAACCCTTAGAATGACCTCCTAGGATCTAGCCGTAAACCCTGTTCAAATGCCACACTTCATCCTTAGTTCTGTCCCTTCTGGAATTCTTCAGCGAAAGAAGCCTGAGTAGGGATCAGTGGAGCAGGAGGAGGAAGGGAGGGGCTGGGAAGAAGAGAGCCAGGCGGGGAGCAGAGCGCGGCGGGGGTGGTCCGTGACTCACGCGTGGCAGGGCTCACCATCGCCTCCAGGCTGCGCGCCTGCGGCCGGGTCTCCTCCCAGGTTCCCAGCCTGTTCCTTCACCCCATCTCTCTCTCTCTCTCTCTCCCTCCCTCCCTCCCTCTCTCTCTCTCTCTCTGAAATAATCGTTTCAATAAAATGCAGAAAAAGTATTCGATAAAATCCAGCATCCCTTTATGATTAAAAGCCTCAGCAAAATCAGCATAGAAGGGACATACCTTAAAGTAATAAAAGCCCTTTATGACACACCCACAGCCAACCTTATACTGCACAGAGAAAAGATGAAAGCATTCCCCCTGAGAACTGGAACAAGACGAGGACGCCCACTTTCACCACTTCTTTCAACATAGTACTGGAAGTCCTAGCAAGTGATAATTTCTTAAAGGTTAGATACAACCTGAAACCCTATCATTGACTATTTGTATTCTGTTATGTTAAAATAGATTGGTCTATCTTGCCCATTGAATGGATTTGTACTAATAATGAAAACAAACAAACAAAAACAAACCCTACACTATGTATGCCCAGTAGTTACCATATTTAACAGTGCATATCTAGAGTGCTCATAGTTTTCAATCTCCCCCAAAATATATGGTGGGACTCTCAGATTGAATATATATTAAATTATCTTCATCGAGAAGTCACGGATTTGTCCACATGGGCCTTAGACACGTCCTTAAAACACAGCAAGCCCACGAAAGTCTAATTAATATGTATATGTATAAGTGGAGGGTACAGACATTAACCGAAACATGATTTATCACCTCAACATTTTAAGTGTTCAAAAATGCCCATTGCCAGGGCTAATCATTGTCTATATTGCACTGGAATTCTGTTGTTATTGTTTGCTTTAACCAGGTGAATACAAGGAGAAGATAAGTATCCATTTTTCTCAAGACAAACTATTGGATATGACATATGTCAAGTATCCTGAAGGCTCTGTAGACATATTTTTTAAATTATAAAACAAGAGACTTAAACCTTAGAATTCTTTACCTGCTGCCCCTCCTCCCCTTGTATTCCAACAATTTTGTTTTCTTCACCCTTGGACTCCTCTTTCCTCATTGTCACAACCTAGCTGGAACAATACATGAAGTGTCTACAATTGGGCAGTGAAGAAGGATTCTCTAAGCATGACCTAAAAATAAACACCATAAAGAAGTATGAGGGTAGTTTTAAGTACTTATAAATTAAAAAACTTCTCTTTGGTAACCACAAACATAGATATATACAGACAGTTTCTCATAATCAACCTCAAAGACACATAAAAAATTTATAGACAAAATAATAATGCGTCCGAAGCTTTCTTCCAAAGTCCACTAGGAACATATCCTAGTGGGTGAAGAAGTTGGGTTTATTACTGGTTCCTGAGTGCAAGAATAGGTGCTGTGAGCCATGTGGTGTTTTGGTAAGAGGGTGTTAGAAAGAAATTCTTAAAGGATTTGGGCTTTGGTTGGGTGATCCTGGGGAGGGTGAGGAAGTGGGCTTCACTCTAGATTGGGTACTCGTCAGGAAGCAGGGGCAATTCTGTAATTGAATGTCTCAACAAATCTTAGCTCTAGTGAGGGTGGACTAGAGCAGAATAAAGCTGTAATTGGTAGACAAGCATCAGCCCCTGGTATTAGTGGAGAGAGTGCTTAGACAAAATTATGAAGTGTTCTTGTATTTCCTCACTTTATCATCATCTCAGAGTGAACTTTCTAATGTTGGTGTTTTGTGGTGATTGTGGTCCAATAGGAGAATAACATGGCTTAACAATGAACATTGGGCCAGCTTCATATAACAAGGAGTCCCAGCCATAAGTGTCAGATCAGTTCCTAGATATCAGAGGCTTCTTGTTTTCTTTCTTAAATTCAACATTTAAAAATATCTACGTCCCATTTGGAAAAGGATTAATGAATATTAGAGCATAATTTGGCATAGAAAATGCAAGTGTCAAATATAATAGTAATAAGTAAATGTCAACAAAATTAAAATGTGGATTAGGAAATGGGATGGAAGTTTAATATATCTTAGCTTGGCAAAGATGAAAGTCAAAGATAATAATATTGAGTGGAGAATAGGGGAAATTTACTGTCATAAAAGTTGATGGGATTAAATACTGGCATACAATTTCTAAAGAGTCAGGCATGTTGGCTTAATGCCTGTAATCCCAGCACTTTGGGAAGCTGAGGTGGGCAGATTGCTTGAGTCCAGGAGTTCCAGACCAGCCAGGGCAACATGGCGAAACCCCATCTCTACAAAAAATACAAAAAAAATTAGGCATGGTGGCACCCTCCTGTAGTCCCAGGAGGATCGCCTGAGCCGGGGAGGTCAAGGCTACAGTGAGCTGTGATCACACCACTGCACTCCAGCCTGAGGAACAGAGTGAGACCCCATCTCAAAGAAAAAACACCCCAGTGTCTAAAGAGCATTTTTGGAAAATGTCTCAAGAAGATCATGTTGATGCAAAAAACTTATCTTCTAAAAATGTAGCCTAAGAAGAAAATCACACGTTTTTAAAAATATATAACAAGAATATTCCTTGAATTATCGTTTATAAAACAAAAGAATGAAAACAACCAAAATAGTATAATCAATATGATGTTAGCTATGAATTGTGGACACTTAATATGTCTCAGTCAGTAATAATGTGTATAATACATAGACAATATATAATTTAATCATCAGAGAAAACCCATCAGGAATCTACTATGTGACTCAGAGAGGTTGAGGAGGTGGTGAAGCTGGATTGAAGCCAGGAGATCTTCTCTCAGACACCGAATTGACTCATCTTTTGTTGATGCTCTGCCCATAAGGTAGGTGAGTGTGACTCTGCACCCCATGCAAGTGAACCATTTCAATGTCCGTGAACATTCTATGACAGGCAGCTGCTAGGCTTAGAGCTCGGGAGGACAAAAGGGCATGTGTGACTTCACTGCCCACACCACACTAAAGTCCATCATCCGGTGTATATTTCAAGGTGAATCAAGATATTAGCTAGACATTGAAGATAGAAGAAGAGCTAAAGTAAGATCTTGATGATATGGAGCTTGCACTGTCATGAGAGAGACGGACATTTAGCAAAAATTACCAAGATAAATGTGAAACCACTACATTTATGAATTCTGAGAGAAAATTTCATAATATCGTGAAAGAAGATAACAAGGAGACCCAACAAGTCCCCTGCTACTATTATCAATAATATATAAAGGATGTAAGAAAATAAGTGGCATTTATGAAATAGGAACTCATTTATGTAAAATTATACACAAGAACGAGCTCTGGAAATTAAAAATGTGATTACAGAATCATAGAAATGAACAATTCATTAGATAATTTGGAAGACAAAAGTCATAATAAAATGGAAAAATGTTTGCAAAAAAGAAAGAAAAAGTGTAAGAACATTATACTATCAGGCCAAGTGTGGTGGCTCAAGCCTATAATCCTAGTGCTTTGGAGGCTAAGGAAAGAGAATTGCTTGAGCCCAGGAGTTCAAGACCAGCCAGGGCAACACAAGGAGACCCCGTATCAAAAAAACAAACAAACAAACAAACAACAAAAAATGCAATGTTTCAAAAGACTACATGAAGAATAGACTCAGAGATTGTCCTATGAAGACTGCCATAGTATAGGGCAGTAGTTGCAGGGAGACATGGGATCAGAGATCAAGGGATAAATTTCGATGGGAAGATTTTGTTTTGATTTGTTTAGTCCAGTTTTGTTTGTTTTTTTGGGGGGAGATATTACAGCACGTCTGCCTGTAGAAATGATGGGCCAGTAGAGAGTGGAAATTGATGATATAGGGGAAGGAAGGATTGATCTTATGCTTGAGTGCAGGGGTGGTCTTAGGAGCGGGGATCATCCATCATCACTGGTGGGAAGGCTGAGGATACAAGTGCAGATTTGGGGATAGTAATGGGATGGTGATGCATTTCTCACCTGGGTCCTCCTTTTTTTCCTGCGTGAAAGAGAAATAAATGTATAACCTAAAAATAGGGAGTGTGGAAGGAGTGGAGGGATGTGAGGGCAGAGAACAAAGTGAGAAACAGCCCCCTGAGGAATTGTAAGAGTGAACTGACCTGGGAGATGGCATTTGGAGAGTGCAGGGCTGTGGGCCACTGAGGTCTGTGGTCATAACTTTGGGGGTGGGGGAGAGAGAGAGAGAGAGAGAGAGAGAGAGAGAGAGAGAGATAGAGAGAGAGAGAGAATGGCACACATCCAGTAATGGGGCAGCAGCAGGAAAATATATAACTGACTAGAAGGAAATGAAACCACATATCTCTGCTGTAAGGATCATGGGATAGTTTAAATTTGTAATTGATCATTTGAAATATTTGGTAATTTTTCTGCAGTGAATATATATTACATTATAATGAGAAAAAGTTATATTTACAAATTAAAAAGGGAATGTTGATGGAGAAAGTGTAGATAATTTAGAAATATCAGAGAGGATAGAACATACTGAAGGGAATAAAAATAATTGCCTCTTTCCCCAACCCAACTCGGATCCCCATACCAACTACTCACATGCTCTGTTTTTAGAGGGACTCAAAAGCCTGTTTTATCCCAAATGCTTTTTCATAGGGTGACATGGAACTTTAGGGTAAGACTTGGCCTCTAGAATTCACCATTCCCTAGAGAACATGGTGCCCTACAGAAGAAAATCATCATCACTAACGTTGTCATTAGCACCACAAATTGCAGTACCAGCAATTGTGTCAAATGTGTTACAAGCCCTATTGCTATTTAATTTAATTTTCACACAAAAGAAAGTATTTACAGACAAAGAACTGAGCTCTATGAAGCCTCAAATAGCTTTCTGTATGTCATGCTGATCAGAGCAGTCCCAGGATATCCAGGTCTGTCTGACTCGAAGACCCAGGTCCTTTAAATAAATACATACTATTTTGGCTTTACAAGGAATGGGCAGTGTTTTGCACATGTGCCATATTCCGCTTCCTGTGCTGGTGTTTTGCATTCATTATTTCATATCATCCTTATCTAGCCCACACTATGCTCCACTAGGCTGGATGGACTTACAGCATCAGTGGATTCCCATTTTGGACCATGCAGATGATGTGAATTTCAGCTGCAGATCTTTGTGAAAAGGACCGGTTTTCTTATTCATCCCTACCCAGATAAGCTGTGTGTGTGTTTGTGTGTGTAGCTTAATGTAGATCTCCAATTAAAGGCAGTAGAGAGTGGAATAATCACTGGCTGATCAAGAATATACTCACAGTCCACAGCATGATTTACCTATCTCTGTACTGTTTTGCTCCCACTAACTGTAGCAAGTGCTGGATGCTCCTCACATGGCCAACAAGGTGTTCTTCTTCCCTAAGTCTGCAGCCCTCTTTCCTTGTCTACCCCAACCCCAAAATTCCAACTTTGTTCTGCCACTGCACCAAGTGCTTGCTTAAGGGCAGCAATTACCATTTTCCTAGCTCTTCATATCTTTAGAGTAGGCATCTTAAAGACAAAATATCCTCTCATGAGCAGATGCAAAGTGACACAGCACAGCACAGCACCAATTGATTATTGTGTAGAAACTCTCATCCAGTGAGTGAGAGGAGGGATGAAAAGGGTGAAAAGGGCAACCCCATCCTGCTATGTCCCATTGTTATTAATTGGGGATATTACTCCCAGTTTATATATTAAGAAACCAATGCTCAGTAATGAGGGTAATTTGTCCATAGTAATAAAAAAATGGTAAAGGCCATGTTCAAATTCAGACCAATTTTATTTCAGGGCCCATGTTTCCTTCATACATCATCCCTTGTGGCCAAAGTCATTGGCAGCAGCCATTGAAGAGGCCTCAGGTGTAGGAATGTCCAGGGTTTCCCTTTTTTCTGAGACAGGGTCTTGCTCTGTCGCCCAGTCTGGAGTGCAGTGGTATGAACACAGCTCACCGCTGCTTTGACTTCTTGGGCTCAAGTGGTCCTCCTGCCTCAGCTTCCTGAGCAGCTGGGACCACAGGTATGCACTATCACGCCTTATTAATTTTTCTTTTTTAAGAGACAGGGTCTGCCATATTTCCCAGGCTGGAGTGCAGTGGCATGACTACAACTTACTGCAGTCTCAACCTACAACCTCAGCCTGCCAAGTAGTTGGGACCACAGGCACGTGTCACCACACTCAGCTAATTACAATTTTTTTTTTTTTTTGGTAAAGATGCAGTCTCCCTAAGTTGCCTAGGCTGGTCTTAAACTTCCAGGCTCAAGTGATACACCCTCCTCTATCTCCCAAAGTGCTGAGATTATAGGCATGAGACACTGTACCTGGCTACTACTGATTTTTGTATGTTGATTTTGTATTATGCAACTTTACTGAATTTGTTTATCAGTTCTAATAGTTCTTTGGTGGAGTCTTGTAGATTTTTCCAAATATAAGATTATATCATCTGCAAACAAGGATAATTTGACTTCTATTTCTTTCTCTTGTCTGATTGCTCTAGCTAGGGTTTCCAATACTATGGTCAATAACGGTGGTGAAAGCAGGCAACCTTGTTGTGTTACTGATCTTAGAGGAAAGGCCTTCAATTTTTCCCCATTCATTTAGTATGATACTAGCTGTGGGTTTGTTGTACATAATGGCTTATTATGTTAAGGTATGTTCCTTCTATACTCAGTTTTTTGACAGTCTTTATCATGAAGGAATGTTGAATTTTATTGACTGTTTTTACAGCATCAATTGAAATGATTATATGGTTTTTGTCTTTCATTCTGTTGAATATGATGTATCACATTGATTGACTTGCATATTTTGAACCATCCTTGCATCCCTAGGATAAATCCCACTTGGTCATGAGGAATGATCTTTTTAATGTGTTGTCGATTTTTATTTGCTAGTATTTTGTTGAGGATTTTTGCAACAATATTTGTCAGTAATATTGGCCTATAGCTTCCTTTTTTTGATGTGTCTTTGTCCGGTTTTGGTATCAGGGTAATACTGCCCTTGTAGGATGATTTTGGAAGTATTCCTTCCTGAATTTTTTGGAACAGTTTGAACAGGATTGGTATTAGTTTTTCTTTAAATGTTTGGTAGAATTCAGCAGTGAAGCCATCAGGGCTTTTCTTTGCTGGGAGACTTTTTGTTATGACTTTTATCTGATTACTTGCTATTGGTCTGTTCAGGTTTTGGATTTTGTTCACCATTCAATCTTGGTAGGTTATATGTATCTAGGAATCTACCCATTTCTTCTAGGTTTTCCAATTTATTGGCATGTAGTTGCCCATAGTAGCCACTGATGATCCTTTGAATTTCTGCAGTATCAGTTGTAATGTCTCTTTTTTCATGTTTGATTTTATTTATTTGGGTCTTCTGTCTTTTTCTGTTAGTCTGGCTAATGATTTGTCAATTTTGTTTAACTTTTCAAAAAACTTACTTTTTGTTTCATTGATCTTTGGTATTGTTTTCTTCATTTCAAACTCATTTACTTTTGTTCTGATCTTCATATTTCTTTTCTTCTACTAATTTTGGGTTTGGTTTTCCCTTGCTTTTCTAGCTATTTAAGATGCATTGTTGTATTGTTTATTTGAAGTTTTTCTTTTTTTTTTGATGTAGCTACTTATAGCTATAAACTTCCCTCTTAGTATTACTTTCACTGTATCCCTTAGGTTTTGGTATGTTGCATTTCCATTATCATTTATTTTCAGAATTTTTTCAATTTCTCTTTCTATAAATAAATAAATACATATATATATTCTACATATATATTTTTTCCTTTTTAATTTTATTTATTTATTTTTATTATACTTTAAGTTCTAGAGTACAAGTGCACAATGTGCAGGTTTGTTACATAGGTATACATGTTGGTTTGCTGCACCCATTAACTCGTCATTTACATTAGGTATTTCTCCTAATGCTATCCCTCTCCCAGCCCCCTCTCCATGACTGTCCCCGGTGTGTGATGTTCGCCGCCCTGTGTCCAAGTGTTCTCATTGTTCAGTTTCCACCTATGAGTGAGAACATGCAGTGTTTGGTTTTCTGTCCTTGTGATAGTTTCCTCAGAATGATGGTTTCCAACTTCATCCATGTCCCTGCAAAGGACATGAACTCATCCTTTTTTATGGCTGCTTAGTATTCCATGGTGTATATGTGCCACATTTTCTTAATCCAGTCTATCATTGATGGACATTTGGGTTGGTGTCAAGTCTTTGCTATTGTGAATAGTGCCACAATAAACATATGTGTGCATGTGTCTTTATAGTAGCCTGATTTATAATCCTTTGGGTATATACCCAGTAATGGGATCACTGGGTCAAATGGTATTTCTAGTTCTAGATCCTTGAGGAATTGCCACACTGACTTGTACAATGGTTGAACTAGTTTACACTCCCACTGACAGTGTAAAAGTGATCCTATTTCTCCACACCCTCTCCAGTATCTGTTGTTTCCTGACTTTTTAATATCACCATTCTAACTGGCATGAATGCTATCTCATTGTGGTTTTGATTTGCATTTCTCTGATGACCAGTGATGATGAGCATTTTTTCATGTGTCTATTGGCTGCATAAATGTCTTCTTTTGAGAAGTGTCTGTTTATATCCTTGGCCCACTTTTTGATGGGGTTGTTTGTTTCTTTCTTGTAAATTTGTTTAAGTTCTTTGTAGATTCTGGATATTAGCCCTTTGTCAGATGGGTAGATTGCAAAAATTTTCTCCCATTCTATAGGTTGCTTGTTCACTCTGATATTAGTTTCTTTTACTGTGCAGAAGCTCTTTAGTTTAATTAGATCCCATTTGTCTATTTTGGCTTTTGTTGCCGTTGCTTTTGGTGTTTTAGTCATGAAGTTCTTGCCCATGCCTATGTCCTGAATGGTATTGCCTAGGTTTTCTTCTAGGGTTTTTATGGTTTTAGGTCTAACATTTAATTCTTTAATCCATCTTGAATTAATTTTTGTATAAGGTGTAAGGAAGGGATCCTGTTTCAGCTTTATACATATGGCTAGCCAGTTTTCCCAGCACCATTTATTAAATACGGAATCATTTCCCCATTTCTTGTTTTTGTCAGGTTTGTCAAAGATCAGATGGCTGTAGATGTGGGGTGTCATTTCTGAGGCCTCTGTTCTGTTCCATTGGTCTATATCTCTGTTTTGGTACCAGTACCATGCTGTTGTGGTTACTGTAGCCTTGTAGTATAGTTTGAAGTCAAGTAGCGTGATGCCTCCAGCTTTGTTCTTTTGGCTTAGGATTGTATTGGCAATGCAGGCTTTTTTTTTGGTTCCATATGAACTTTAAAGTAGCTTTTTCCAATTCTGTGAAGAAAGTCATTGGTAGCTTGATGGGGATGGCATTGAAAGTGTAAATTACCTTGGGCAATATGGCCATTTTCACGATATTGATTTTTCCTATCCATGAGCATGGAATATTCTTCCATTTGTTTGTGTCCTCTTTTATTTTGTTGAGCAGTGGTTTGTAGTTCTCCTTGAAGAGGTCCTTCATATCCTTTGTAAGTTGGATTCCTAGGTATTTTATTCTCTTTGCAGCAATCGTGAATGGGAGTTCACTCATGATTTGGCTCTCTGTTTGTCTGTTATTGGTGTACAGAAATGCTTGTGATTCTTGCACATTGATTTTATATCCTGAGACTTTGCTGAAGTTGCTTATCAGCTTAAGGAGATTTTGGGCTGAGATGATGGGGTTTTCTAGATATACAATCATGTCATCTGCAAACAGGGACAATTTGACTTCCTCTTTTCCTAATTGAATACCCTTTATTTCTTTCTCTTGCCTGATTGCCCTGGCCAGAACTTCCAACATTATGTTGAATAGGAGTGGCGAGAGACGGCATCCCTGTCTTGTGCCAGTTTTCAAAGGGAATACTTCCAGTTTTTGCCCATTCAGTATGATATTGACTGTGGGTTTGTCATAAATAGCTCTTATTATTTTGAGATACGTTTCATCAATATCTAGTGTATTGAGAGTTTTTAGCATGAAGGGCTGTTGAATTTTGTCAAAGGCCTTTTCTGCATCTATTGAGATAATCATGTGGTTTTTGTCATTGGTTCAGTTTATGTGATGGATTATGTTTATTGATTTGCATATGTTGAACCAGCCTTGCATCCCAGGGACAAAGCCAACTTGATTGCAATGGATAAACTTTTTGATGTGCTGCTGGATTCAGTTTGCCAGTATTTTATTGAGGATTTTCGCATTGATGTTCATCAGGGATATTGGTCTAAAATTCTTTTTTTTGTTGTTGTGTCTCTGCCAGGCTTTGGTATCAGAATGATGCTGGCCTCATAAAATGAGTTAGGGAGGATTCTCTCTTTTTCTATTGATTGGAATAGTTTCAGAAGGAATGGTACCAGCTCCTCCTTGTACCTCTGGTAGAATTTGGCTGTGAATCCATCTGGTCCTGGACTTTTTTTGGTTGGTAAGCTATTAATTATTGACTCAATTTCAGAGCCTGTTATTGGTCTATTCAGAGATTCAACTTCTTCCTGGTTTAGTCTTGGGAGGGTGTATGTGTTGAGGAATTTATCCATTTCTTCTAGATTTTCTAGTTTATTTGCGTAGAGGTGTTTATAGTATTCTCTGATGGTAGTCTGTATATCTGTGGGATCGGTGGTGATATCCCCTTTATCATTTTTTATTGTGTCTATTTGATTCTTCTCTCTTTTCTTCTTTATTAGTCTTGCTAGCGGTCTATCAATTTTGTTGATCTTTTCAAAAAACCACCTCCTGGATTCATTGATTTTTTGAAGGGTTTTTTATGTCTCTATCTCCTTAAGTTCTGCTCTGATCTTACTTATTTCTTGCCTTCTGCTGTCTTTTGAATGTAAAGTTTGCTCTTGCTTCTCTAGTTCTTTTAATCGTGATGTTAGGGTGTCAATTTTAGATCTTTCCTGCTTTCTCTTGTGGGCATTTAGTGCTATAAATTTCCCTCTACACATTGCTTTAAATGTGTCCCAGAGATTCTGGTATGCTGTGTCTTTGTTCTCATTGGTTTCAAAGAACATCTTTATTTGTGCCTTCATTTCATTATGTACCCAGTAGTCATTCAGGAGCAGGTTGTTCAGTTTCCATGTAGTTGAGCGGTTTTGAGTGAGTTTGTTAATCCTGAGTTCTAGTTTGGTTGCACTGTGGTCTGAGCAACAGTTTGTTATAATTTCTGTTCTTTTATATTTGCTGAGGAGTGCTTTACTTCCAACTATGTGGTCAATTTTGGAATAAGTGCGGTGTGGTGCTGAGAAGAATGTACATTCTGTTGATTTGGGGTGGAGAGTTCTGTAGATGTCTATTAGGTCCGCTTGGTGCAGAACTGAGTTCAATTCCTGGATATCCTTGCTAACTTTCTGTCTCGTTGATCTGTCTAATGTTGACAGTGGGGTGTTAAAGTCTCCCATTATTATTGTGTGGGAGTCTAAGTCTCTTTGTAGGTCACTCAGGACTTGCTTTATGGATCTGGGTGCTCCTGTATTGGGTGCATATCTATTTAGGATAGTTAGCTCTTCTTGTTGAATTGATCCCTTTACCATTATGTAATGGCCTTCTTTGTCTCTTTTGATCTTTGTTGGTTTAAAGTCTGTTTTATCAGAGACTGGGATTGCAACCCCTGCCTTTTTTTGTTTTCCATTTGCTTGGTAGATCTTCCTCCATCCCTTTATTTTGAGCCTATGTGTGTCTCTGCACATGAGATGGGTTTCCTGAATACAGCACACTGATGGGTCTTGACTCTTTATCCAATTTGCCAGTCTGTGTCTTTTAATTGGAGCATTTAGCCCATTTACATTTAAGGTTAATATTGTTATGTGTGAATTTGATCCTGTCATTATGATGTTAGCTGGTTATTTTGCTTGTTAGTTGATGCAGTTTCTTCCTAGCATCGATGGTCTTTACAATTTGGCATGTTTTTGCAGTGGCTGGTACCAGTTGTTCCTTTCCATGTTTAGTGCTTCCTTCAGGAGCTCTCGTAGGGCAGGCCTGGAGGTGACAAAATTTCTGAGCATTTGCTTGTCTGTAAAGTATTTTATTTCTCCTTCACTTATGAAGCTTAGTTTGGCTGGATATGAAATTCTGGGTTGAAAATTCTTTTCTTTAAGAATGTTGAATATTGGCCCCCAGTCTCTTCTGGCTTGTAGAGTTTCTGCTGAGAGATCCGCTGTTAGTCTGATGGGCTTCCCTTTGTGGGTAACCCAACCTTTCTCTCTGGCTGCCCTTAACATTTTTTCCTTCATTTCAACTTTGGTGAATCTGACATTAATGTGTCTTGGAGTTGCTCTTCTCACGGAGTATCTTTATGGCATTCTCTGCATTTCCTGAATTTGAATGTTGGTCTGCCTTGCTAGGTTGGGGAAGTTCTCCTGGATAATATCCTGCAGAGTGTTTTCCAACTTGGTTCCATTCTCCCTGTCACTTTCAGGTACACCAAGCCAACGTAGATTTGGTCTTTTCACATAGTCCCATATTTCTTGGAGGCTTTGTTCATTTCTTTTTATTCTTTTTTCTCTAAACTTCTCTTCTTGCTTCATTTCATTCATTTGATCTTCAATCTCTGTTACCCTTTCTTCCAGTTGATTGAATCGGCTACTGAATCTTGTGCACGCATCACGTAGTTCTCCTGCCATGGTTTTCAGCTCCATCAGGTCCTTTAAGGACTTCTCTGCATTGGTTATTCTAGTTAGCCATTCGTCTAATCTTGTTTCAAGGTTTTTAACTTCTTTGCAATGGGTTTGAACTTCCTCCTTTAGCTTGGAGAAGTTTGATCGTCTGAAGCCTTCTTCTCTCAGCTCATCAAAGTCATTCTCCGTCTAGCTTTGTTCCGTTGCTGGTGAGGAGCTGCATTCCTTTGGAGGAGGAGAGGCACTCTGAGTTTTAGAATTTTCAATTTTTCTGCTCTGTTTTTTCCCCATCTTTGTGGTTTTATCTACCTTTGGTCTTTGATGATGGTGACGTACAGATGGGGTTTTGGTGTGGATGTTCTTTCTGTTTGTTAGTTTTCCTTCTAACAGTCAGGACCCTCAGCTGCAGGTCTGTTGGAGTTTGCTGGAGGTCCACTCCAGACCCTGTTTGCCTGGGTATCAGCAGCAGAGGCTGCAGAACAGTGAATATTGCTGAACAGCAAATGTTGCTGCCTGATCGTTCCTGTGGAAGTTTTGTCTCAGAGGGGTACCTGGCCGTGTGAGGTGTCAGTCTGCCCCTACAGGGAGATGCCTCCCAGTTAGGCTTCTCAGGGGTCAGGGACCCACTTGAGGAGGCAGTCTGTTCATTCTCAGATCTCAAACTCCATGCCGGAAGAACCACTACCCTCTTCAAAGCTGTCAGACAGGCACATTTAAGTCTGCAGAGGTTTCTACTGCCTTTTGTTCGGCTATGCCCTGCCTCCAGCGGTGGAGTCTACAGAGGCAGGCAGGCCTCCTTGAGCTGCAGTTGGTTCCACCCAGTTCAAGCTTCCCGGTCGCTTTGTTTACCTACTCAAGCCTCAGCAATGGTGGGCGCCCCTCCCCCAGCCTTGCTGCCACCTTGCAGTTTGATCTCAGACTGCTGTGCTAGCAATGAGGGAGGCTCCATGGGCTTGGGACCCTCCGAGCCAGGTGCAGGATATAATCCCCTGGTGTGCCATTTGCTCAGACCATTGGAGAAGCGCAGTATTAGGGTGGGAGCTACCCGATTTTCCAGGTGCCGTCTGTCACAGCTTTGCTTGGCTAGGAAAAGGAATTTCCTGACCCCTTGTGCTTCTTGGGTGAGGCGATGCCTTGCCCTGCTTCAGCTTATGCTCGGTGCACTGCACCCACTGTTCTGCACCCACTGTCTGACAAGCCCCAGTGAGATGACCCTGGTACCTCAGTTGGATATGCAGAAATCACCCATCTTCTGCATGGCTCACGCTGGGAGCTATAGACTGGAGCTGTTCCTATTTGGCCATCTTGGAACTGCTCCCCAGGGTTGTGTAGGTTTTTGTAAAGAGATTGTTCATTTCCTTGCTTAAATTTATTCCTGTTTTTCTGGGGGGTTTTTGTCGCTATCATAAATGGGACTGCTTTTAAATTTCTTTCTTAGCTACTTCATTACTAATGTGTAGACATTATATTGATTTTTGCATGTTGATTTTGCATCTTGCCACTTTACTGAATTTATTTATTGGATCTAATTGTTTTTTGGTGGCATCTTTAGATTTTTTTAGACATAGGATTATACCATTGGCAGGAAGGCAAGAGAGGCTGAAGGTTAAGCTGATGGCCATGATGTAATGAATCATGCCTAAGAAATATGGCTTCCATCAAAACCCAAAAGGGAAGAGTCAGAGAGCTTCTGTATGGCTGAACACAGGGAGGCTTATAGGAAGGTGAACAATAACTCAGACATGTGCCAGGGAGGGTAGCACTTCCCAAACACATGGGGCAGAAGCTCCTGCACTCAAGACCCTTTCAGACCTCACCCTATGTATCTCTTCATGTGGCTCTTATCTCTTCATGTGGCTCTTTATCCTTTAAAATATCCTTTTAAATAAACTGGTTAATGTATGTAAGTGTTTCCTGGCATGCTATGAGCCATTCTAGCAAATCAATCAAACCTGAGGGTGGGTTTTGGGAACCCTGATTTATAGTCAGTGAGTTAGCAACACAGGCAAAATAATCTGGGGCTTGAGATTGTCATCAGAAGTGAGAGGGTGACAGTCGTGAGGACTGAGCCATCAACTTGCGGGATCTAAAATTATCTCCAGGGAGATAGTGTCAGAATTGAGTTAGAGGATACCCAGCTGGCGTCCATAACAGAACCGATTGTTTGCTTGTTTTTGGGGAGAAATCCCCTACGTTTCATCGCAGAAGCCTTCTGTGTTGATAGTTGTTGGGGTGTAAGAACAGTAGAAAAAAGACTTTGAATTTTCCCACAAAATTTTGCCACAAAAATGTGGTTAAAAGATTTTTTAAAAACTGGCACATTTGTCTAGAGCACTTACCATGAATGGAGCTTACAGGACTGGAAATTGCTCTGGGTGTCAGTGAGTGGCGAGTGAATGTGAAGTCTAGGGCATTACTATACACTACTTAGACTTTATAAACACTGTACATTTAGGCTACACTAAATTAATTTTAAAAATCATTTTCTTTCTTTAATAATAAATTAATCTTAGCTTACTGTAACTTTTTAATCTTTTTTTCTCCACCCTTTTTTTAAGTTCAGGGGTACATGTACAGAATGTGCAGGTTTGTTACGTAGGTAAATGTGTGCCATGGTGGTTTGCTGCAGAGATCGTCCCATCACCTAGGTATTAAGGCCAACATCCATTGGCTATTCTTCCTGGTGCTTCCCTCCCCCAGCCCCATGCCCTCTAACAGACCCCAGTGTGTGTTGTTCTCCCCCATGTATCCATGTGTTGTCATCATTCAGCTCCCACTTATAAGTGAGAACACATGGTGTTTTGTTTTCTGTTCCTGGGTCAGTTTGCTGAGGATAATGGCTTCCCACTCCATTCATGTCCCTGCAAAGGACATGGTCTTATTCCTTTATGTGGCTGCATCGCATTCCATGTTGTATATGTACCACATTTTCTTTATCCAGTCTATCATTGATGGGCATTTATGTTGATTCCATGTCTTTGCTATTGTGAATAGTGCTGCAATGAACATATGCGTGTATATATCTTTATAATAGAATGATTTATATTCCTTTGGGTAAGTATCCAGTAATGAGATTGCTAGGTCAATTTCTGCCTCTAGGTTTTTGAGGAATCACCACACTGTCTTCCACAATGGTTGAACGAATTTACATTTCCACCAACAGTGTGAAAGCATTGCTTTTTCTCTGTGACTTCACCAGCATCTCTTGTTTTTTGACTTATTAATAGCCACTCTGGTATCTCATTGTGGTTTTTATTTGCATTTCTCTAATTATCAGTGATGTTCAACTTTTCTCATATGTTTGTTGGCTGCATGTATGTCTTTTTTTGAGAGGTGTCTGCTCATGTCCTTTGCCTACTTTTTAATGGGGTTGTTTGTTTTTTTCTTGTAAATTTGCTGAAGCTCCTTGTAAACTCTGGATATTAGACCTTTGTCAGATGTATAGATTGCAAAAATCTTCTCCTATTCTGCAGGTTGTCTATTCACTCTGCTGATAGTTTCCTTTGCTGTGCAGAAGCTCTTTAGTTTAATTAATTCCATTAGTCAATTTTTGCTTTTGTTGCAATTGCTTTTGGAGTCTTCATCATGAAATCTTTGCCCATGCCTATGTTCTGAAGAGTATTGCATAGATTTTCTTCTAGCGTTTTTATAGTTTTGGGTTTTACATTTAAGTCTTTAATCCATCTTGAATTAATTTTTGTATATAGTTTAAGGAACGGGCCTAGTTTCAATTTTCTGCATATGGCAAGCCAGTTCTCCCAGCACCATTTATTAAATAGGGAATTCTTTCCCCATTACTTGTTTTGGTCAGACTTGTCAAAGATCAGATGGTTGTAGGTGTGTGATCTTATTTCACAGTTCTTTATTCTGTTCCATTGGTCTATGTATCTGTTTTTGTATCAGTACCATGCTGTTTTAGTATTGTAACCTTGTAGTATAGTTTGAAGTCAGGTAATGTGATGCCTCCAGTTTTGTTCTTTTTGCTTAGAATTGTCTTGGCTATTCAGGCTCTTTTTTTGGTTCCATATGAATTTAAAAATAGTTTTGTTTTTTTTTTCAGGCTAGGCGCAGTGGCCCACGCCTATAATCCCAGCACTTTGGGAGGCTGAGGTGGACAGATCATGAGGTCAGGAGTTCAAGACTAGCCTGGCCAACATTGTGAAACCCCATCTCTACTAAAAATACAAAAATTAGCTGGGCGTGGTGGTGCGCATTTGCAATCCCAGCTACTTGGGAGGTTGAGGCAGGAGAATCGCTTGAACCCGGGGACGCGGAGGTTGCAGTGAGCCGAGATCACGCCACTGCACTCCAGCCTGGGTGACAGAGCAAGACTCTATCTTAAAAAAAAAAATAGTGTTTTTTTTTCTTCTAATTCTGTGAAGAATGTCTATGATAGTTTAATGGGAATAGCATCACATCTACAAATTACTTTGGGCAGTATGGCCATTTTCATGATATGGATTCTTCCTATCCATGAACATGGAATGTTATCCTATTTGTTTGTATCCTCTCTGATTTTTCTTTGAGCAGTGGTTTGTAGTTCTCCTTGAAGAGGTCCTTCACTTCCCTTGTTAGCTGTATTCCTAGGTATTTCATTCTTTCTGTAGGAATTGTGAATGGGAGTTGATGATTTGGCTCTCTGCTTGCCTGTTGTTGGTATATAGGAATGCTAGCGATTTTTGCACATTCTGTATCCTGAGACGTTGCTGAAGTTCCTTATCAGCTTAAGAAACTGCTGTTCTCATGATGGTGAAACTAATATAAGTGGTGAGAGGCTTGTCTGGTGCCGGTTTTCAAGGGGAATGTTTCCAGCTTTTGCCCATTCAGTATGATATTGGCTGTGGGTTTGTCATATATTGCCCTTATTATTTTGAGATCTCTTCCTTCAACACCTAGTTTATTAAGAGTTTTTAACATGAAAGTATATTGAATTTTATCAAGTGCCTTTTCTGCATCTATTGAGATAATCATGTGGTTTTTTTCTTTAGTTCTGTTTATGTTATGAATCGCATTTATTGATTTGTGTATGTTGAACCAACCTTGCATCCTGGGGATGAAGCCAACTTGATTGTGATGAATAAGCTTTTTGATGTGCTGCTGGATTCGGTTTGCCAGAATTTTATTGAGGATTGTTGCATTGATGTTCATCATGCATGGCCCGAAGTTTTCTTTTTTTGTTATATCTCTGCCAAGTTTTGGTATCAGGATGATGCTGGCCTTTTAAAATGAGTTAGGGAAGAGTCCCCCCTTTTCAATTGTTTGGAATAGTTTTAGTGAAAATGGTACCAGCTCTCCTTTGTACTTTTGATAGAATTCAGCTATCAATCTGTCTGGTCCTCGGCTTTTTTTGGTTGGTAGGCTATTTATTGCCTCAACTTCAGAACTCATTACTGGCCTGCTAAGAGTTTCAATTTCTTCCTGGTTCAGTCTTGGGAGGGTGTATGTGGGCAGGAATTTATCAACTTCTTCTAGATTTTCTAGTTTATTTGCATAGAGGTGTTCGTAGTATTCTCTGATTGTTGTTTGTATTTCTGTGGGGCCAGTGGTAATATCACCCTTGTTATTTCTGATTTGTTTATTTGATTCTTCTCTCTCTTCTTCTCTATTAGTCTAGATAGTGGTCTATTTTATTAATTCTTTCAAAAAAACAGCTCCTAGATTCATTAACGTTTTGAAGGGTTTTGTGTGTCTCTCTCTCCTTCAGTTCAGCTCCGATCTTTGTTATTTCTTGTCTTCTGCTAGCTTTGGGATTTGTTTTTGTTTCTCTAGTTCTTTTAGTTGTGATACTAGATTGTTAACTTGAGATTTTTCTGGTGTTTTGATATAGGCATTTAGTGCTATAAATTTCCCTCTTTACACTGCTGTAGCTGTGTCCCAAAGATTCTGATACATTGTCTCTTCATTCTCATTAGCTTCAAATAACTTATTGATTTCTGCCTTAATTTAATAATTTACCCAACAGTCATTCAGGAGCAGGTTGTTCAATTTCCATGTAGTTGTATGGTTTTGAGCGAATTTCTTACTTTTGGTTTCTAATTTGATTGTGCTGTGGTCTGAGAGACTGTTTATTATGATTTCAGTTCTTTTTGCATTTGCTGAGGAGTGTTTTACTTTTGATTATGTGACCAATTTTAGAGTAGGTGCTGTGTAGCAATGAGAAGAATGTATATTCTGTTGTTTTTGGGTGGAAAGCTCTGTAGGTGTCTATCAGATCCACTTGATCCAAAGCTGAGTTCAAGTCTTGAACTTTTTCATATTTATAAACCTTAATTTTTTAAAAAAATTCAACTATTTTGTAATAGCACTTAGCTTAAAACACCAGCACATTATTCAGCTATACAAAAATATTTTTCCTTATATTCTCATTCTAGAAACTATTTCTACTTAATTTTTTAACCTTTTAATCTTTTTTGGTAAAAACAAAGACATACATTAGCCTAGGCTGACACAGGGTCAGGATCAACAATATCACCAACTTCAGCCTTCACATCTTGTCCCACTGTTATTTCACAGGTAATAACAAGCATGGAACTGTCATCTCCTGTGATAACAATGCCTTCTTCTGGAATACCTCCTAAAGGACTTGCCTGACGCTGTTTTAATTTAACTTAAAAAATAATTAGAGCACACTCTAAAATCACCATAAAAAGTATAGTAAATACATAAACCAGTAACATATTTATTATCATCAAGTATTACATGCTGTTTTTAACTGTATGGGGTAGACTTTTATAGGATTGGCAGTGCAGTAGGTTTATTTACATCAGCATCACCACAAGCACATGATTAATGCATTGTGTTATGACATTACAATGGCTACAATGTCACTAGGTGATAGGAATTTTTCAGCTCCGTTTAATAGGATGACAGTCGTATACGTGATCAATCATTGACAGAAACATCATTAAGCAGTGCATGACTGTATAACACAGTGATGTGTGTGTGTGTGTGTGTATTTTGTGTGTATAAGGTTGTTAAAGATGAAATTGAGGTTTCAACTGGGCACTAAGATATAACATATTAACTTTGCCTGTGAATTGTCAAATTACCCTATTCAGATTTTCAAATGCAATGACTATTGAAGGATTAGAGGTCTTCTGACTTGAACTGTGATAGACTAGCTCATTTAAAACTCATCCTCCCACTGTAAACAAGTATAAAAGCCAGACAAAACACGATGCAGTTGTGCAGCTGCAAAACAGCAGCCAGAGCAGGACTATCACCCTCCAGGGAATGGAGTCCCTGAAAGAGAGACTCACATCCTCATCAGCTTTCTTTCTAAGAGGATTTTTTTCAAAATTCAATGAAGGGAAATGGAACCCAAGCAGAGAGAATCAATCTCAGTAGCAAAGGAATCAGAGATCAGAGTTCAGGCTTGGCACTTTGACTGGGATTTAAGGGTAGGGTGCTGAAGGAGGGAGCTACAGCGAAGAAACTCCCAAAATCTGCACTCCAAAGCTGCATATGCTCCAGGTGATACTGTAAGAAGCCCACCAGAGAACAGCTGCTTGGGGATTGCATGCTATGTAGAAATGCCAAAGGCTTCATAGTGTGAGGAGATATTGGAATTAATTTAGCCCAGCCAAACCCGGGTTGAGACATGAGGATGGTGAAGCACTATGAGTGAGGGCCGTGGCCTTGGAGTAAGTACCACACTGAAATAGCAAAGTAGCAAAGTCTAAAATCAAGCCTTGGGAAAGGATTCCCTATTTAATAAATGGTGCTGAGAAAACTGGCTAGCCATATGTAGAAAGCTGAAACTGGATCCTTTCCTTACACCTTATACAAAAATCAATTCAAGATGGATTAAAGACTTAAACGTTAGACCTAAAACCATAAAAACCCTAGAAGAAAACCTAGGCATTACATTCAGGACATAGGCATGGGCAAGGACTTCATGTCTAAAACACCAAAAGCAATGGCAACAAAAGCCAAAATTGACAAATGGGATCTAATTAAACTAAAGAGCTTCTGCACAGCAAAAGAAACTACCATCAGAGTGAGCAGGCAACCTACAACATGGGAGAAAATTTTCACAACCTACTCATCTGACAAAGGGCTAATATCCAGAATCTACAAAGAACTTAAACAAATTTACAAGAAAAAAAAAACCACCCCATCAAAAAGTGGGCGAAGGACATGAACAGACATTTCTCAAAAGAAGACATTTATGCAGCCAAAAAACACATGAAAAAATGCTCACCATCACTGGCCATCAGAGAAATGCAAATCAAAACCACTATGAGATATCATCTCACACCAGTTAGAATGGCAATCATTAAAAAGTCAGGAAACAACAGGTGCTGGAGAGGATGTGGAGAAATAGGAACACTTTTATGCTGTTGGTGGGACTGTAAACTAGTTCAACCATTGTGGAAGTCAGTGTAGCAATTCCTCAGGGATCTAGAACTAGAAATACCATTTGACCCAGCCATCCCATTACTGGGTATATACCCAAAGGGCTATAAATCATGCTGCTATATAGACACATGTACACGTATGTTTATTGCAGCACTATTCACAATAGCAAAGTCTTGGAACCAACCCAAATGCCCAACAATGATAGACTGGATTAAGAAAATGTGGCACATATACACCATGGAATACTATGCAGCCATAAAAAGTGATGAGTTCATGTCCTTTGTAGGGACATGGATGAAATTGGAAATCATCATTCTCAGTAAACTAACGCAAGAACAAAAAACCAAACACCGCATATTCTCACTCATAGGTGGGAATTGAACAATGAGAACACATGGACACAGGAAGTGGAACATCACACTCTGGGGATTGTTGTGGGGTGGGGGGAGGGGGGAGGGATAGCATTGGGAGATATACCTAATGCTAGATGACGAGTTAGTGGGTGCAGCACACCAGCATGGCACATGTATACCTATGTAACTAACCTGCACATTGTGCACATGTACCCTAAAACTTAAAGTATAACAAAAAAATAAATAAAATAAAATAAAATAAAATAAAATCAAGCCTAAGCAGAATCAAAGTGGGTCCGATTTTTACCAAAGGTAATTCTTTTATAATTAATGAACTATCAAATTGTTAGCAGTCTGTGGAGGAAGATGGCAAAATCCAGAGCCTCTATAACACATCATCCAGAATATGTGGCATGCCAAGCAGCAGAGAAAATGCAACAAGTAGAGATAAATCAGACTAAGTATTCCATGGTGTATATGTACCACATTTTCTTAATCCAGTCTATCATACTATGCAGCCATAAAAAATGATGAGTTCATGTCCTTTGTAGGGACATGGATGAAACTGGAAACCATCATTCTCAGCAAACTATCGCAAGGAGAAAAAACCAAACACCTCGTGTTCTCACTCATAGGTGGGAATTGAACAATGAGAACACGTGGACACAGGAAGGGGAACATCACACACCGGGGACTGTTGTGGGGTGGGGGAAGTGGGGAGGGATAGCATTAGGAGATATACCTAATGTTAAATGACGAGTTAATGGGTGCAGCACACCAACATGGCACATGCATACATATGTAACTAACTTGCATGTTGTGCACATGTACGCTAAAACTTAAAGTATAATAAAAAAAATCAGGCTAAGAGTTGATGTGGATATTGAAGCAGGCAAGCAAGAACATTCTCAAAGTATTTATGATTAATATGTTAAGGAAAATAGAGGGAAAGATGGGCAAACTATTTCAAAATCCCCAGAAAGATCAATCATAAAAAGAGAGAAAACAGAAATGAACACTATAAAGAACAACATAAAACCGTATATTTTATTAAAATGAAAATAAGAGAATATTAGACACAACTTCCTGACAATACCTTTTAAAATTTAGGTGCAATGAAATGAGTTCTTGAAAACGACAATTGAACAAGCCAACAGAAAACTGAATAGAAAATATAAGTAGTCCTATATCCATTAAGAAATGGGATTCTAATTAAATTCTTTCCCACCAAAAACACTCTTTGCCCACGTTTTTTCCCCTGTCAATTCTTCCAAAACTTTTTTTAAAAAAGTCAGTCTTATTCAGTCATCTCTTGGTATCCTTTTGGGATGGGATCTAGGGCCCCCTGTGGATACCAAAATCTATGAATGCTCAGGTCCCATGTATAAAATGGTCTAGTATTTGCTTATTACCTATGCACATCCTCCCATATACTTTAAATCACCTATAGATTACTAATACCTAATTCAATGTAAATTATTCGCAAATAGTTGTTATACTATATTGTTTAGGAAATAATGATAAGAAAAAGTCTATATATCTTCAGTACAGATGTAACCGCTGTAGGTAGGCCTAACTACATAGTATACATCAGCAGCAACAACAGTTTCGATCCTCAGGTAGTTAAATTCACAGATGTGAAACACACAGACATGGAGGGCAGACTATCATATATTCTTTTAGATAATAAAAAAAGAGTAAACACCTTCCAACTAATTTTATGAGACAACATAGCCCAGAGAAGAACTTAAACATGACAATGACATTACAAAAAAGATATCCACCATCTGAATGAACTGATGAACACAGCCACCAAAATTCCATCTAAAATATTAGAAAATAGAAGCAAGTAATATATGGAGAGGATAATGTACAATGGGACTGAATGGGATTTATAAGAGAAATGTGACTTTAAAAAATCAGAGTAATTTACCACATGAATAGAAAAAGGTAGAAAAACATGCAGTTATGTCAACAGATGCATGAGAATCATTTGATAAAATTCAACAACTATTCATTATAAAAACTCAATAAACCAGAAATAAAAGAGAACTTCCTTAAGCTAATAAAGTTATTTATAAAAAAGAAATACCTCTATCTAAAGTCAAAATTAATGAGAAAAATATTGAAAACTACTCCTCTGTGTTGGGGACAAAATAAGGATATCCAATATCATTCCTTTTTTTTTTTTTTTTTTTGAGATGGAGACTTGCTTTGTCACCCAGGCTGGACTGCAGTGGTGCGATCTCGGCTCACTGAAAACTCCGCCTCCCAGGTTCAGGAGAATCGCCTGCCTCAGCCTCCTGAGTAGCTGGGATTACAGACATGTGCCACCATGCCCAGCTAATTTTTGTCGTTTTAGTAGAGATGGGGTTTCACCATGTTGATCAGGCTGGTCTTGAACTCCTGACCTCATGATCTGCCCGCCTTGGCCTCCCGAAGTGCTGGGATTACAGGCGTGAGCCACCGTGCCCGGCCACTTTTTTAAAAAATTATTTTTTATTTCAAGGTTTTTAGGGGTGGGTGGTGTTTGGTTACCTGAATTAATTCTTTAGTGGTGATTTCTGAGATTTTGGTGCACCCAGCAGTCAGGAAGGATTGAGCAACAGGGTGGGGAATATCCATCTCCCCACCTCCCTACCCCGATCAGCCTGAACTGATGGCAGAAACTGACTGCTGATGCTTGCTTTACTCACCCACATTCCCCATTCACTTATTCTTCATCAATTTGGTTCACATGTTCCCAGCAGTCGCTTCACCCCAGAAGCAGTCTGACTCCTATTCTTCAATACCAGGGAAACTCAAAGCCCTCTCTGCCCCCATCTCTGATATTACACTTCAGCTCAACATCATCACATGAAGGATCCAACTCTTCAGGGCAGATGTTCCCCCAGAGTCAGCCCCTGAATTTTGGCCCCAGATGTGCACCCCCACCCCCAACCTTTCCTTTTCTGTTTTGCTGTGAATCTGTCAATCACTGGGAACTGGCAGGGAGAGGTAGGAAGAGGGAGAGATTTCTTCATGCTGTGTCAAGGCATTGAGACAGACCTCTCCTTTTCCCCTGAACCTTGTATTCTACTCTTCCCAGATGCATGAAATAAAGCACAGGCCAGAAATGTCTATTTAAAGAGTAAAAATCCACAGTATAAAATTATGCAGACATAGTAGACATGGGGTAATTTATAACAGTGTGCGAAGGGTGAGGGGACCTCAAGGTGCCAAAAAGGCTGGTCCCAGGCTTGCCAGGAGGAACCGTCAACAGGACACACACTCATAAAGCTTTTATGCACATACAATGTGTTTAAAGGCACATATGTGCTTTTGTGCATGTAATTACTGCACATACAATACATTAAAAGATAATAAAAGTTAATAAGATAATAACAAAACAACAAAAATAATAATACCGAATATTATGGCACAGCTGCAAACACCTCATAGCAACTAACAGTTGTCAATCCCTGACCACAAGAAATAAGTGCTGTTAGTTTCCCATTTAATATATGAGGAAACTGAGGCATCAAGAGGGAAAGTGCTGGTGAGACCTGGGTAGGGAGTTGAATCCAGTGGAGCCAGCAGACCCAGGAGCTGGCACCAGAGACTGAAATTCCAGCTGTATGGTGCCCTGGTGGTCTCCTGTCCCAACCAGGTGTTGATCTGGGCTTCGTAGGCTCATGTGCTCTGGAGAAAAGAGAGAAACAGTAAATGCTCCACTGGGTGCAGAGTGCTGCTTTTCATTCCCTGAGGATTTCTCCCTCCTCAGAAACTCCGAAATCAGATTCACCCTTTCTCTGAGGGAAGAACTGACGCCCCCACTTTTTCCTCCCTCCCATCCTAGTTTCTCCAGCCTCCACCAGTCTCCTCCTGTGATTCCCTCAACAATGATACCTGCCCTGTGCCCACCATCCACCATGTGGGGAATGAAAGGGCCTCATGACTAAAGGACAAGAATCAGATCCAGGAGGGAACCCGGGGCCCTCCCCTCCTCCCAAGCCCCACCAGCCTAGACACAGTGGGAAACCTCCCCAAAGAGAGGATGGTCCGAGCTCCGTGTCCTACCAGGCCTGGGCTGGGTCACGCACGCGGTCCTTCTCCCTCTCAGTCCCCAGGCCCTCCTCACCTACAGAGGCACTTGCACAACAGGGCAGACCCTGCACACTGGGCTCCCCGCTCCACCTGCAGCTCAGCGTTCCACCCTCCGAGCCCTGAGCAGCCAGCCCCTAACTGCAGAGCCCATCAAGAAGCCTGGGGGCTCGGCACAAAAACACGTGGCTGCCACCGGGTCTGCACCTGACTGGATCCTGGGACCCTCCACGCTTGAGGACACCCAACCTTTCCAGACCCTCAGCACCCACCCGGGTCCGTGACCTGCACTTGGGCCATCCTTGCTCCTGCCTGGTCCACTCACCCCTGGAAATGCACCTCTACCCCAGGGCTGCTGCTTGCTGAGGCTGCAAGACCTTCCTGCCCTGTTCCTAGCAGGGCTTCCACCCAGGCCACTGCCCTCACAGCCCACAGGGAATCTTCTTCTTCTCCCTGTGGAGCAGGGGGTTTCTGGAGACCCCTCAGCCTGAGGCTGCCTCCACCCACCCTCTGCACTCCAGGATTGCCACTGCCACAACCACCATCTCCAACATGGACCCTCCTGGAGAGGAAGCTCCAAGCTTGACTTCTCATTTGATTGTACATGCTTTACAACATCAATATTAGAGGAAATCCTATTAAGATTATCCAGCGGAAATTGTGAACATCTTTATTGGACATCAATATTTAAAGGAGAATTTTTGAGAAATTAGCACATGACTTTCACACCCTTTCCCTGGCCAATGCCCCGTGACCTACAAGGCAAACTTTCCTGCCCACGGGGACCCAGAAGTGACAACCCCTCTATAGGAGACAGTGCAGGTGAAAGCAGGAGCGACCACAAACCTGCACTGCCCCTGCTGTGGGTGCCTCCTGGACGGGGCCCTCTTGCTGCAGGGCAGGGGATGAACCTTCCCATCTGCCCAGGACTGAGGGGCCAACAGACAGTGCAATTAGGTTCAAGGATGAAAAACCCCCACCCCCACCACCAGGTGCAAAAAAGTGGGGAAATGGCAGAAAGACTCCAGTTTCCTGGACACCCAGCCTCTCACTGTCCCCTGCACTGCCTCTGTCTTTGCAGAAACACAAAACTTCCTGTTTTCTCTTTTACTTTCCCCTCAAACAACTGACTGTGGGGGAAATCATCCTGACCATCCTTTACTCCAAATTTACAGGAAAGTGACCACCTTGAGAAAGGCTCAGGGAGGGCAAGGTGAGGCCACAGAGCACAGAACAAAGCCCAAAAAACATGGTCCCTGAGCACTGTGTCCCTGAGGGACTGTGTCCTTCAGGGCCTGGACAAGGAAACACCTAGAAGTAGGATGAAAACAGGGATGACAGCTGCCCTGACAAGGGGCTGGTCACCACTCCCCAAATGGCCCAGAGACATCTGCGTATCTTCTCATCCATATTATCTGCAAGGGAACTCAGGGTGCAGGGCCATGTGGTGGGAACCTGGAAAGAGCACGGCCTCGAGTGATCCAGGAGACACGACACCCCCGAGACAGCTCCTGGAGGAGGTGCGTGGGGAGCTACAAAGTGGACAAAGATGGCTGTGTGCACTCAGAACCCTCCCTGTTACAAGGGGGTCTCCAAGGGGCTGCACAGGCAGGCCCCCCAGTCTGGGCCTCATAGGTCTTTTTCTTGGTGTCCTCCTGATGGCTGGAGAAACAGGGGAGGCGGATGCAGAGAGGAAGGGACTAGAGGCACCACCTCTCCTCATATTCCTCTCCAGTTTCTAGCCCTCTCCAGATCACAGCCGTCTTTACTATTTGCCCCCTCTGAAGCCATCATCATCCAGGCCCTCAGCAATCAGCACATGATTCCCAGCTCACCCCACGCTGATGCACGCTGGTGAGCCTGAGAGACAGAGGGATGGGGATGAGGACAGAGCAGGTGCCACGGCCCTCCTTGCTGCCCACTCCTCACCTGCAGCAAGAGGAGGCCACAGATGGACATTCGAGGGCTTTGGCCCGGCCCTGGCTTGGGCAGGACTTAGGGGTCTAGATGAAATTGTAGCTCCTATTCCCCTCCCAAATACCCCAACTTCCAAACCCTGTTCCAAAGCCTTGTCACCTACATGCCTGTCTGTGCAGGAGCTATGAGGGGACCCTACTGCCCAGACAGGGTCCCTCCCATCTCCAGCCACTGCCCCCTTTTTTCACCTGGGTCCTCTGCAGCTGATATTTTCTTCTTGCACCAAAGGACACAGAGAATAATAATAATGATAACAAAAACAGCAGCAGCCGCAACATATGGAACGGTTGCCATAGACTCTGAAGCATCAGGGCTTTCCCTGAAAAAAAGGGCCTTGTTGCACACTGGGCACTCAGAGTTCCAGTTATCTCTGCTGTGCCCACCTTGGCCTGACCCTTTCTAGGTCAGAACACTTGAGGGTCGCCCCAGGCTCACCAGAGGACACCAGGGTAAGTGCTGTGATTCCTGCTGTGTCCCACATAGCAGGTAGCCCTCTGCTCCTCTTCTTGGGGAATCTTAGTGGCCACCCAGGTCTGGTAGGTCCCATTCCCATTGGGCAGGACACCCACAGACCGATGGGCATCCTGGCTCAGAAAATGCCCCAACCTGACACCAGGCCAGAGAGATATTCTGGGGATAGAAGCCGGAAGCCCAGCATGTGGGGGTGACTTTGTTCTCTGAGGCCTGGCATTCACCATGGTAGGCACTGGATAGGAAAGGGCAGAACCAGTGAGGCACATGGCCAAGCCCCGCTCCCTCTAAGGGAGACTCAGGGAACAGGGCTGCTCCTCTCCAGTGTTCTCACTCTGGCTGAAGCCCTCATGGACCCCGGACCTTTTGCAAGTCTGTCCTTACCCTGGGGCCCAATTCCTTTGGGCTGGCAGGAGGATGGGCCTCAGACTATGGCCTCAGGCTCTGAGATCCCCACATTGATGCTGAAGGGGAGGGATGTCAGGATTGGACTGCTGGGTCATGAGGCCAGGAGGGAACTCTCTGGGATGGGCAGGCTGGGAGGCAGAGGGGGCAGCCCTAGCCCTGAGGGCTTCCTCTCCTGCCTAACACCCACCCCAGGGTGAGGATTCTGTTGGGAGTGGGCCATTGCTTTCCCAGATTACAACACTGGATGGTTCAGTCCCCAACCCACTGTCTTTATCCAGTGCCTCTAACAAGAGAGGAAAGTCAGGACACAATACGCCAACAGGAAACGCCTGCATCCATAGCACAGAGAGGGTTTCCCAGGACAGAGCTGGCAGGGGAGTGACTCTAGTGAAATGGGGGAGAGGAAAGCCCCTGCCCAGGGTCGGTACCTGTTCTCCTGATGCCCTCCTAGGATTCGAGATGTTACTGTAGTTTCTGCAGACGGTCTGCCATCACAGGGTGAAAGTGTCTTGGCCTGTGTGGCATCTTCATCCCAGAAATTTCTGATATTCATAGCTAAGGTCTGAGCTCTGGAGGACTGGGGCACTGTCCATTCCTGAGTCTCCAGGTTTTGGGAGAGGAAGAGCTCCCCATCATAGTAGAAATGCCGGGAGCCTCTGGTGCTGCTGTCTTCATGGATCTCACAGACCCTAATCTCCTGGAGGGAATGCAAGCCTGCCCCCACCCAGCAGTTCATTCCTGAACCCCTCATCTTCCCACCCAAGTGAGGAACTCAGCCCAGCTGGGACCCCTCCCTGGCCCTCCTCCATGTCTCCCTGAGTGGGCTGAGTGCCGGCTCACCTCCCTGCTGAGCCCCACTGACCCCTATTTCTCAGCCCACCCTCAGCCAGATCCAGTGGGAAGAGACAGGTCCCTGCTCTCTGCCTCCAACTCTCCTGGAGAAGGCCTCTGCCATTACTCTTGCCCCTGCCGACTCTCACCTCCTTTCTGGCCCTTGATATGAGTCAGGGTCCTCCTGAGGTCCTGCCCATTCTCTGTCAAGTCCTCGGTCTCTGTGTCCCAGGTCTCAGCTCCCAGGACTGCTTCTGCCAACTGTCCACAGGGCCCCTGCCCTGCCTTTCTGTCTGTCATAGAGCAGGAACGGCTG
Source organism: Homo sapiens (assembly GCF_000001405.40). Classification (NCBI taxonomy): domain Eukaryota; kingdom Metazoa; phylum Chordata; class Mammalia; order Primates; family Hominidae; genus Homo; species Homo sapiens. Next base: position 1,758,836 of record NT_167247.2, on the reverse strand, counting down.
ACCATCCAGATGTCCCTCAGCGAGAAACCCTGACTATACAAATCCATCCTGGGACAGCACCGTGAGGTTGTAATGAAGACTGTGGGACCTGGGGAAGAAGAAACCACAGATGAAACTTCTTCCTGGAAATAACTTCACATAGATATTTAACACACAGATCTGCTGCCCCGACCTTCCTGAGGAAGCAGAAGTGGCTAAGTGTTGACAGTTTTGTAGTAATTTACAAGTTGATATGGTTTGGCTGTGTCCCCACCCAAATCACATCTTCAGTTGTAACTCCCACAATTCCCACCTGTCATGGGAGGAACCTAGTGGGAGGTGATTGAATTTTTGGATGGGTCTTTCCTGCACTGTTCTTGTGATAGCGAATGAGTCTCATGAGATCTAATGGTTTTAAAAAAATGGGAGTTTTCCTGCACGAGCTCTCTCTTCTTGCCTGCTGCCATCCACACAAGATGTGACTTGCTCCTCCTTGCCTTCCACCGTGATTGTGAGGCCTCCCCAGCCATGTGGAACCATTAAGTCCGTTAAACCTCTTTCTTTTGTAAATTGCCCAGTCTCAGGTATGTCTTTACCAGCAGTGTGAAAACATACTAATACACAAGTGAAACACATTATACATTTTAATCCATTAAAGACTAGTTAGCAGCACTCACCACAAGCTGATATAAGAGCCTGTGAGCCTTAAGGGAACATTCACTGGTAATGGTCTGCAAACAGGGGTAGTCTGACTTCCCCTATGCCTTTTATTTCTTTCTCTTGCCTTATTGCTGTGGCCAGGACTTCCAATACTCTGTTGAATAGGAGTGGTGAGAGAAGGCATCTTTGTCTTGTGCTGGGTTTCAAGGGGAATGCTTCCCCCATTTGGTATGATGTTGGCTGTTTGTTTGTCATAGATGGCTCTTATTATTTTGAGGTATGTTCCTGCAATACCTAGTTTATTGAGCGTTTTTAACATAAAGGAATGTTGAATTTTATCAAAAGGTTTTTCTGGATCTATTAAGATAATCATGTGGTTTCTGTCTTTAGTTCCCTGTATGTGATGAATCACATTTATTGATTTGCACGTGTTGAACCAATCTTGCATCCTGGATATGAAGCCTACTTGATCATTGAGATTAGCTTTTTGATGGACTGCTGGATTTGGTTTGCAAGTACCTTGTTGAGGATTATTACATCAATGTTCATCAAACATATTGACCTGAAGTTTTCTTTTTTTGTTTTGTCTCTGCCAGGCTTTGGTATCAGGATGATGCTGGCCTCATAGAATGAGTTGGGGAGGAGTTCCTCCTTTACAATTTTTTGGAATAGTTTCAGTAGGAATGGTACCAGCTCTTCTTCGTCCATCTGGTAGAATTCAGCTGTGAATCCATCAGGTTCAGGGCTTTTTTTGGTTAGTAGGCTATTTATTACAGATTTAATTTTGGAGCTCATTATTGGTCCTTTCAAGGAATCAATTTCTTCCTGGGAGGGTGTATGTTTCCAAGAATTTATCGATCTCTTGTAGGTTTTCTAGTTTGTGTGCATACAGGTGTTCATAGTAGCTTTTGATGGTTATTTTTACTTCTGCAGAGTCAGTGGTAACATCTGTTTTGTCATTTCTAATTATGCTTATTGGGATCGCCTCTCTTTTCTTCCTTATTAGTCTAGCTATCAGCCTATCTATCCTATTAACTTTTTCAAAAATCATCTCCTGAATTTGTTGATCTATTGAATTTTTTTGTGTCTTGATTTCCTTCAGAACTTAACTCATTCTTAACATTTCACAGCCCACTTTCAGTTAATAATGTACTAGTTCACATAAATATAGAAATCTTGCAACCATTTATCCTCTATACAACGTCCATCTTTTATGCCATAGATATTATATGTAATATATCTACATAGGTTATAAGCCCCATCAGAAAGCTATCTTATTTTACCTTTAAACAGTTCTATGTATATGAAGTAAGATTAAATGGGGGGGGGGGAGCAAGATAGCCTTTCGCACTTAATATTTACCACTTCTCACATTCTTCATCTTTTCTGATAATCTCATTTTCCACCTGGTATCATTTGCTTTTAGCCTGAGACACTTTCTTTACCAATTTTTATCGTACAGATCTGCTGGTGACAAATTCTCTTAATTATCTTTTACCTGAAATATCTCCTTATTTTGCATTTATCTTGAAGGACATCTGTACTGGATATAGAATTCTTAGTTGACCTTTTATTTCTTCCAGAACTTTAAAGATGTTATTCTAGTTTATTTTGTTTCTCTGGTTTCTGATGAGAAATCATTGGTCAGGAAAAGAGAAACAGAGGAAGAAAAACTGAGCAAATAACATGACAAACCTAAAACCTATCATATCAATAATGACAAAAACCTACATAAATCAGCACTCCAATTAAGGGCAGAGATTCTGTGACTGGATTAAAAAAAATAACCCAACCATATGCTCTTTTCAAGACATGAACTTTATTTTTTTTAATTTAACTTTTATTTTTAGTTCAGGGTACATGTGCAGGTTTTTGTATAGGTAAATTTGTATCATGAGAGTTTGTCATATGTAGGCTCCAGCCCTACAGGACCTGTGGGTTTTTCTCTTTGTGTGTGGAGATGAGAGAGTGTAGAAATAAAGACACAAGACAAAGAGAAGAAAAGAGAGTTGGGCCCAGGGGACCACTACCACCAAGGCACGGAGACTGATAGTGGCCTCGAATGCCAGGCTGCGCTGTTATTTATTGGATACAAGACAAGGTGGCAGGGTAAGGAGTGTGAGCCATCTCCAATGATAGGTAAGGTCACGTGAGTCACGTGTCCACCAGACAGGGGGCCCTTCCCTGTTCGGTAGCCGAGGCGGAGAGAGAGAGGGGACAGTTTATGTCATTATTTCTTCTATGTATTTCAAAGACTTTAGTACTTTCACTAATTTTTGCTACTGCTATTTAGAAGGCTGAGCCAGGTGTAGAGGGTGGAACATGAGAGTCAAACAGGAGCGTGACCACTGAAGCACAGCATCACAGGGAGACGTTTAGGCCTCCAGATGGCTGTGGGCGGGCTTGACTGATGTCGGGCCTTCCACAAGAGGTGGTGGAGCAGAGGCTTCTCTAACTCCCCCGGGCAAAGGGAGACTCCCTTTCCCGATCTGCTGAGTGATGGGTGCCTTCTCAGGCACTGGCGTTACCGCCAGACCAAGGAGCCCTCTAGTGGCCCTGTCCAGGCATGACAGAGGGCTCACACTCTTGTCTTCTGTTCACTTCTCACCGTGTCCCTTCAGCTCCTATCTCTGTATGGCCTGGTTTTTTCTAGGTTATAATTGTAGAACAAAGATTATTATAATATTGGAATAAAGAGTAATGTCATAAACTAATGATTAGTAATATTTATACATAATCATATCTATATTTTATGTCTAATACAACTATTTTTATTTTAAGTATTTTCTTTATTATACTGGAAGAGCTTGTGCCTTCAGTCTCTTGCCTCGGCACCTGGGTGGCTTGCTGCCCACAGTCATATAGTTTCTGTACCTATTAGTACCCACCCAGGTATTAAGCCTAGCACCCATTCATTATTTTTCTTGATCCTCTCCCTCCTTCCACCCGTTGCCTTCAAGTAGGCCCCGGTGTGTGTTGTTCCCTTCTATATGTCCATATGTTCTCATCATTTAGCTCCCACTCATAAGTGAGAACATGTGGCAATTGGTTTTCTTTTTCTGCATTAGTTAGCAAAGGATAATGGCCTCTAGCTCCATCCATGTTCCTGCAAAGTACATGATCTCGTTCTTTTTTATGGCTGCATAATATTCCATGGTGCATATGTGCCACATTTTCTTTATCCAGTTCACCATTGATGGGCATTTAGGTTGATTCCATGTCTTTGCTATTGTGACAAGTGCTGCAATGAACATACATCTGCATGCAAAACATGCAATTTCAATATGAAGGCACAGATAAATAAAAATTGATGAAAAAAGCAATGCCATACAAACATTAAGCACAGAGGATTGAAATGGTTATTTTACTACCAGTAAAAGATTTTCAAATATGTATTACCAGAGAGAAAAAGAGGCGCTTCATAATAACAAAAGGGTAAAATCAACAGAAAGACATGCAACCAGAAATGGATCCAATAGCAAATCTTCAGAGTTCATGAAGAAAAATTGACAAAATTACAGAGAGAAGTAGAGAATTCTACAAACATGGTTAGACATTTTAAAGCTTTCTTTCAGCTATAAATACAAAAACTAAGAAAAATTTAGCAAAGACATAGAAAATTGAAAAGCATTATCAAGCACCCAGACTTAATTTATTTATATGCATATGCACATCAATGAAAAACACAAATTATCTGAAGTATGAATGATATATTTACCAGGAGAAACCATATTTCAGTCCATAAAACAATAAATTTGAAAACATTGAAATCATACAGAATATATTTTCTGGCCATAATGGAAATACATTAGAAATCTGTAACAATAAGATGGTCATGTGGGACTGAATGCTTTTGTCATCCTTAAACTCATAATTGAAACCTAATCTCTAATGTGATGGTGTTTGGAGGTTGTGCCATTAGAAAGTGATCATGCAGTGAAGGCAAAACCCTCATTAATAAAATGAATGCCCTTATAAAAGGGACCCCAGATTGCTTGCTCCTTCCACCACGTGGGGACACCAAGAAACGGCAACATCCATGAATCAGGAAGCAGCCCTCACCATACACTGACTCTTCCCAGGCCTTGATCTTTGACTTCCCAGCCTCTGGAACTGTGAGAAATAGATTTCTGTTGTATGCAAGCCACATAGACTATGGAATTCTTTTATAACTGCCCAGATTGACTAAGACGGACGATCATGAAAATACCAAGGATTGGAAATTAAACATCAAAATTCTGAATAACAACTTATTCAAAGAGGAAATCACAGGAGAAATTAGAAAGTCTTCTGTTTTCTGAAGAATACTGAAGCACAACATATCAAATGTATGGGATGCAGTTGAAGTAGTGTTAGATATAAAAAGAGTTCCTCTTTAAGGGTTAACTTGCTCAGCATCCTGGCTCTTTGTTCCCTGCTTTCAAGGCCAGACTTCCTTACGCTCTGTATCCCCTGCCCTGGTAAACAAATTTCCCGCCAGTCCTTATCTATGGAGACCACATCCCACATCTGCTACCCACTCTATAGATTAACCCTCCTGTTGCAACAGCTCCTCCCGCCAAGACTGCACTCTCTGTTGGTATAACCACATTCCTGCACTTTTCAAGTTAGCCAGCCAGGTTCAGCTTAGATTGTGCAGTCCAACTCCAGCCAATGGAGACAAGACACAGTTACAGGGACAAGCTGCATTAAGAGATTATAAAAAACCCCTGCTCTCCTTTGTTCAGGTGTGCACTCGCCATCGTTCCATCATAAGTAGCACCCTTTCTGCAGAAGTCAATTGCCTTGCTGAGAGATCCTTTGTCTCAGTGCTGATCTTTCTTTACAACACTGAGCATTTGTTCCCAACAAGCAGTACTGAAGAAAAAACTGATATCCTTAAATGCCTATATTAAGAAAGAAGGTAGGTCTCAAATTAGTAAATTAGTTTCTCCTGTAAGAAGCAAAGAAGAACAAATTAAACCAATGCATGCAGAAGGAAGGAAATAATAATAAAATAAAAAACTGAAGCAGAAAGAGAAAATTAATGAATCCAAATATTGGTTCTATAGGGAAAAATCGTACACCTTATAAATTTCTAGCCAGACTGATCAAGACAAAAACATACACATTAACAAGGTCAGCAATAAAAGAGAGAACATCAGTACACACTCTAGATCTCAAAAAGAAATATTGATAATCTCATGTCAATAAGTTTGACAAGCAAATGAAATGAACAATTTCCTTGAGAGGGAAAACTTATGAAAACTGACCTGAGAAGAGATAGAAAATGTGGTCAGCCATATATTGATTGTAGAAATTGAATTTGTAATCAAAATCCTTCTAATATAGGAAAGTCTAGGTCCAGAAGGCTTCACTGATGAATTGTATCAAACATATAATTTAGAAATTACATCAATTTTACACATACCTTTTAGAAATTAAAGTAGGCAGTTTTTTTCAATTCAGTCTACGAAGCCAGCTATATTAGTCCGTTTTCACACTGCTGATAAACACATACTCAAGACTGGGAAGAAAAAGAAGTTTAATTGGACTTACAATTCCACATGGCTCGATGGTCTCAGAATCATGGCAGGAGGTGAATTTTTTTTTACGTAGCAGTGGCAAGAGAAAATGAGTAAGATACAAAAGCGGAAACCCCTGATAAAATCGTCAGGTCTTGTGAGCCTTATTCAATACCACAAGAACAGTATGGGGGAAACTGCCTCCATGATTCATATTATCTCCCACTGGGTCCCTCCTACAACATGTAAGAATTATGGGAGTATAATTCAAGATGAGATTTGGGTGGGGACACAGAGCCAAACCATGTCATTCCACCCCTGGCCCCTCCAAATCTCATGTCCTCACATTTCAAAACCAATCATGCCTTCCCAACAATCCCCCAAAGTCTTTCCTCATTTCAGCATTAACCCAGAAATCCACAGTCCAAAGTCTCATCTGAGACAAGGCAAGTCCCTCCCACCTATTAACCTGTAAAATCAAAACCAAGCTAGTTACTTACGAGATACAATGGGGGTACAGGTATTGGGTAAATACAGCCATTCCAGATGGGAGAAATTGGCCAAAACAAAGGAGTTACAGGGCCCATGCAAGTCCTAAATCCAGTGGGGCAGTCAAATTCTAAAGCCCCAAGATGATCTCCTTTGACTCCATGTCTCACATCCAGGTCATGCTGATGCAAGAGGTAGGTCCCCATATCTTGGGCAGCTCTGCCTCTGTGACTTTGCAGGGTATATGTTCCCTCCTGGCTGCTTTCACAGTCTGGCGCTGAGTGTCTGTGACTTTTCCAGATGCACAGTGCAAGCTGTTGGTGGATCTACCATTTTGGGATCTGGAACACGGTGGCCCTCTTCTTACAGCTCCACTAGGCAGTGCCCCAGTAGGGACTCTGTGTGGGGGCTCCAGCCCCACGTTTCCCTTCCACATTGCCCTAGCAGAGGTTCTCCATGAGGGCCCTGCCCCTGCAGCAAACTTTTGCCTGGGCATCCTAGCATTTCCATACATCTTCTGAAATCTAGGTGGAGGTTCCCAAACCTCCATTCTTGACTTCTGTGCACCTGCAGGCTCAAAACCACATGGAAGCTGTCAAGGCTTAAAGCTTGCACCCTCTGGAGCCATGGACCAAGCTGTACCTTGGCCCCTTTTAGCAACAGTGGGAGCATCTGGGATGCAGGGCACCAAGTCCCTAGGCTGTACATAGCATGGGGACCCTGGGCCCTGCCCATGAAACCATTTTTTCCTCCTATGCTTCTGGGTCTGTGATGAGAGGGGCTGCCATGAAGACCTATGGCATGCCCTGGAGACATTTTCCCCCTTGTCTTGGGGATCAACACTTGGCTTGTTGTTACTTATGCAAATTTCTGCAGCCAGCTTGAGTTTCTCCTCAAAAAATGGGTTTTTCTTTTCTACTGCATTGTCAGGCTGTAAATTTTCTGAACTTTTATGCTCTGTTTCCCTTTGAAAATGGAATGCTTTTAGGAGCACCCAAGTCACTCTTTGAATGCTTTGCTGCTTAGAAATTTTATCTGCCAGATACCCTACATCATTTTAAGGAAAGACTAGCATGGGGAAGAAGAAGAGAGACGAGAAGAAAAGAGCTCCCTGCTTCTAGTGAGCAAAGGCCGCCGCCCGAGCTTCTTAGCCCTTCATATTTACTGGGTAATAAGGGCAAGGAGGAGGAGGTAATGATTGGTCAGCTGCTTAATTGATCACAGGTTCATATTGTTACTGGCAGGCTTCAATTGTGGCAAATCATAAGAAACATTCGTGCGGCCTCCAACATCTACTCCTTTTTGTTTTAAAATTAATTGAGCAAGGTAATTGCAGGCTGTGCAGCTCTTAATTGCCGGTTGGTGATCCAGCTTCATTTTTCTTAGCCCTTATTCAAAATAGAGTTGCTGTGGTTTGAATGTTTCTTACATATCTCCCCCTTCCCTTTTTACAAGAGGACGCTTAATCCTAAGGGTTGCAGAAGGATGAAGGTCTGTCTTCTGCAACTTCTTCATGCAGAATAAGGGCGATGATATTCCTGCCTAACTATTAGGGTCTCTTGTATTCAGGGTAGAGAGGAGCTGAGTCAGAAAGCACTGGTCCGTTAAACATCGATTGTACTTCTGAGTTCCAGCAAAAGGTGACACCCTGGCACTCCAGCAGTTTCTCAGCTTCCTGTGTGGTTTTCTTGATCAGTCCCCATGTTATGGGGGTTGATGTCAGCATGACTCTGGTCAGTCGTCGTTCCATCTTCGCATTCAGATTCAACTGGCTCATGGCTTGTACTGGGGGAACCAGGTCCAGGGTTGGGATCCATGGGTCCCTCCAGTCTCCCATTCCAAGATGCACCTTGGAAAAAGAGACAAAAATCACTAGCATCTGTGGCCCACGCTTTTTCCTAAAAGGGTTTTGAGGACTTCAGTACTTACAGGGGAAAGAGCAGGCAGAAGGGGAAAAACAGTCAACTATGCATTCATCTTGTGCTCAGTAAATCTGAATTTTACATAAGCTAAAGTAAACATAGAGTAGTAAAATATGTGTTTGTCTCCGGGTGGGTGAAGGGATGATTTCTAGTCTTGTCTTTGTCCTGTACCTGTGAAGATAAGCTGTTACTTTACATTGTCAGGGGAAAAGTCAACAAAACTCTGTTTTAGGGTAAAGATGTTGGGGCCCACAAGGAATTACATTGTGAGCAGATTGTGAGGGAGGCCACTTGGGGAGATATGTGGTCCTCTATCTTTGCAGGTATTTGTTTAGGAACAAAAGAAAGGCAGTTTTTCCATGACTCAGTTCCCAAACTTAACTTTTCCCTTTGGCACTGTGAGTTTGGGGTCCCAAGATTTTATCTTTCTTTCACACTCAGTATTGCAGTTTATTATTGTCATAGCTTAAATCAGCGGTAATCATAGCTTACCTCAACATATTTGGCACCAAGTACTGGTTTCATGGAATAAAATTTTTCCACTGACCAGGGCAGGCGGCACGGGTAGGCGGGGATGGGTTTCGGGATGAAACTGTTCCACCTCAGATGATCAGGCACTGGAGTCTTATAAAGGAGCGTGCAGCCTAAATCCCTCGCATGCACAGTTTACAATAGGGTTCGTGCTCCCATGAGAATCTAATGCCACCACTGATCTGACCAGAGGCGGAGCTCAGGCGGTCATGCTCATGCTTTCTCGCCCACCCTTCACCTCCTGCTGTGCGGTCTGGTTCCCAACAGGCCACAAACCTGTACCGGTCCACTGCAGGGGAGTTAGGGACCCCTGGTTTAAATTATGCCACTATAACAGAACACCTGAGACTGGATAACTTACAATGAACACAAATTTAATTGGCTCATGGTTGTCGAGGATGGGAATTCCAAAATCAAGGGAATGTATCTGGCAGAAGGGAGAAGTGCAAGAGAGGGTGAGAGCTAGAGGGAGTAAGAGGTCGAACTCACAGGCTCAGGTCCTTTATGATCAGCATTAATGAGGGCAGCCTTGATCAGTTCATTAATGAAGGCAGAGCTCTGATGGTCCAATCACCTCTCAAAGGTCCCATCTCTTAACATTGTTGCACTGGGGATTAAGTTTCCAACAGACGCTTTTCTGGGGAAACATTCAAACAATAGCAGTTGTAAAGGATACAAATGAGCAGGCAGATGAAGTGCAGGAGGCGACGTCTGGAAGCACTCTGAGCACACGACCCTCTGTCCCCATGGAGACGGGGTGCACCATCATTGTCAAGAGACAATATCATCTCTTGCTTATACCTCTTTTTTTTGGGAGTTCATGTAACATTGGATTTTCCTCATTACACAACCCATTTATTCATTCATTTACCCTCAGCTACTATTCCTCCTTCTACTTCATTTATACCAAACATTAATAGTTTTGGAAGAAACATTAAGTTCTGCTACTGTGCTGGCCTAGACTGAAGGGAGCAATACTGTTCTAGCAAGTGTCTCTCGTTGGTCCATTCCAGTTCATAGAGGGTAGGGTTATGCAGGTAGAGAACTAGTTGGCTATCTGACCCCAGGCAATATAGCTGCATTCAGTGTTAGCCCCAACTTTGCCAGATGCAGTGAAGGCACAACCTACTCCTCCAGGCCCTCAGGAATTCTTGCATAATGGTTTTAAAATATATTTACACTTTCTTGCTTAGGAATAATTCCTGTTTTAGCACTTTTATATGCATCCCTTGTCCTAAGACCACTGAATCAGGTATGAGAAAGGCGAGTTGAGGTGAAGTCTAGTCATCATTCCAGTGTCCTCTTGTCATGGGAAAAATCGTATGTCAGGTCATACTAGCACCTTTCCCTGATCCAGCAGGAAAAAAGAGGATACTCTCTAGTGGGGACACTCCTTTTTCCACACTCATGTCTGGTGTGAGCCCACTCATGAACGTGTGTAAGCCCGCCCTTCATGCTTATGTCTCCCCACTCCTGCTTTATACAAATAATGTGTCATTTGACTATTTTTATTCTCTATGAAACTATTCCTCTGAGCAAAATATTTTTCTGAACATTGTTGGACATTTTGGGCAAATGTGTTTCCTGGTGTGAAGAAATGTGACTCAGTGATGCAAATGGTTGCAATATCTCCCGTCCAGGTTCTATTATAGTGCTCTAAGCATTTGCATCTGAGATGAAGTAGGGATTTATCTTAGAAGCCTGCTAGACCTCCCTAACATGGAAATAAAGGAAAATGTTGAGTTCCTTCAAGAGAAATTCCAGGCACCTAGCCAGCCCTGAAAAGCAAGTGAGTGACCTTATAAGCAAGCAGGTAAAAATAGCTTAAACAATAGCCAAGGAAGTTAGAGTCCCAAGATGTTTGATTCTCTATAGAAACTAAAGAGAACATCTTAACATATGTCCTTGAGTAGTTTTTCAGGAACCCAGACTCTCACCAAACAGAGCCACTGATAGGGAGACCTCAGATAAGGGGAAAATGAGGACTCAATGCTGACTGTGACTCTTTGTTCTAAATTTTTTCCTGAGGGGCCTGGAAAGAGTCAGGTCCACAGAGCAGACCTGAACATTCCTCCCTACTGCCCCTAAGTGTGTAGACAAAGCTTTGGCTCCTTATCCAATCACAAATCAGAGAATCTTTCAATCCACCTATGACCTGTACGATCCCTCATCAGGATATCCCACCTTTTTAGGCCAAACCAGTGTGTAATTTCTATGCATTGATTTTTGATGTTGCCTGCAACTCGGCTTTGCTGAAATTTACTCCTGCCTTAAAAACTCTTGCTTGTAAGCCATTGGAGGTTAGGTCTTAAGTGTGAGCTGCCCGATTCTCCTTGCTTGGTGCCTTGCAAATAAACGCCTTCCTTTCTCCCACTACAAAATCTCAGTGTGGATGTTTGCCTTTATTGCACCAGGTGAGTGGGCCCCAGTTCAGTTTGATAACACATCTACCACCAGCTAAGCAATGCTTACTCCAGGGTCAGTATCTATTCCTGCCAAGACCCATTTGCTGCCTCCTAGGGGTACTGGTATCAGTCTAATTTGCCAGCTATCTATTTTCAAGACCTTCCCATGAGAGAATTTGCTACATAGCCATATGCTGTCTCTGTCTCTTCTTAAACAGAACAGTCCTTATGGGTATTTCGTGCCTGTGAGTTGGAGGATGTAAAAGGAATATATCTTGATTCAGCCTATCTCTGCATTGCTGCAGCCCTCAGTGTCTACTTATTTCATGGACCCAGGTGATCACCACAAGCAAACGTGGATTTTTTTGAGATGTGGTATTGATATTTTTCCCTGGACTCAAAAGTTGCTCAGGCAAAACTAAGACTCCTGGGCTCAAGAGATCCTTCTGCCTCAGTTCTTCTTGTAGCTGGAAATACAGGTACACCTGGAAAGCACTTAGAAATAAATGCTTGTTGATTTCAATCACCTTCCAAACCTGGAGGAGGGTTATTCTGAGGGGCATTGAACTAATTGAACTATTCTGAGGGAATGGTACTAAACGATTCATGAGAAGCCACCCCCATGATGCAATCACCTCCCTCGAGGCCTCACCTCCAACACTGGGGATTATATCTCAACATGAGATTTGGGTGGGGACAACACCCAATTTATATCAGACATCAACATGCCTTACATTAATGCACCCCTCAAATTACCATAGTGATTTCCACAGGACTGTGTCCTATACGGGTATTCTTTTCATAGGCCAGTTTTCCATTGCTCTCTTAATTATATGGCCAGGCCATCAGTCAATGCCCATAAGTCAGTAAAAACTAAGACATAGGGACTTTTGTCATTGTTCAATTCTTTCATCACTTCTCAGAAAACATCATGCAATTCAACCAAAAAAAAAAAAAAACTGTCCTGTTTTTAACTTCTTTGATCAAAGGGGTAGACTTCCAAACAGGATGTTGTCCACTCATCTTGCAAATGCTGTACACAAACCAACCAGCTCTTTGTGGGTCAGTTGACTGATATTGCAGTTCAAATCCCAGGATGTCTGCTGCAGAGTTCCATCTTGTTTAGGGAGGGTCACATTATAAAGGTCAAACTACTTTACTCAAAGCCTAGCAATTATCAGGTTCAAGCGATTCTCCTGCCTTAGTCTCTTGAGTAGCTGGGATTACAGGCACCTGTCATCACGCCCAGCTAATTTTTTTGTATTTTTAGTAGAGATGAGGTTTCACCATGTTGGCCAGGCTGGTCTTGAACTCCTGACCTCAGGTGATCTGCCCATCTCGGCCTCCCAAAGTGCTGGGATTACAGGCATGAGCCACCGCGCCTGGCCACTCTTCATTATATAAAATATAAGACAGTCTGTCCTCCATGTCTGTGTGTTCCACATCTGTGAATTCAACTACCTGAGGATTGGAAATGTTATGTTGCTGCTGTTGTGTACTCTGTAGTTAGGCCTACTGACAGTGGTTACATCTGTACTGAAGATGTACAGACATTTTCTTGTCGTTATTTCCTAAACAATATAGTATAACTACTGTTTACAATCATGTACATTGCACTAGGTATTGTAAGTAATCTAGAGATGATTTAAAGTATATGGGATGATATGCATAGGTAGTAGGCAAATAGTAGGCCATTTTATACATGGGACCAGAGAATCCACAGATTTTGGTATCCACAGGGGTCCTAGAACCCAGCCCAAAAGGATACCAAGGGATGACTATATAGGACTGACATTCCTTTTTTAAGTTTTGAAAGAATTGATGGGAGGAAATGTGGTAAGAAGTTTTTCTGGTGGGAAGGAATTTAATTAAAATTCAATTTCTTAATGGATAGAGGACTATTTATATTTTCTACTTAGTTTTCTGTTGGCTTTGTTCAACTGTGTTTTTCAAGAACTCATTTCATTGCACCTAAATTTTAAAAGGTATTGTCATGAAGTTGTGTCTAATATTCTCTTATTTTCATTTTAATAAAATCTGTGGTTTTATAAGTTGTCCCTTCTCACAGTGTTCATTCGTGTTTTCTCTCTTTGTATGATTGATCTTTCTGGGGATTATGAAATAGTTTGCCCATGATTTCCTCTATTATCCTTAACATATTAATCATAAATATTTTGAAGAATGTCCTTGCTCGCTGGCTTCAGTATCCAGATCATCTGAGTCAGCTTCTGTTGATTATTTTATCTCCACTTGTTGCATTTTTTCTGCTGCTTGGCATGCCACATATTCTGGGTGATGTGTTACAGAGGTTCTGGATTTTGCTATCTTCCTGCTAAGACTGCTAACTGCTTGACGGTTCATTAATTATCATAAAAATCAGACCCACTTTGATTCTGCTTAGGCTTGATTTTAGCCTTTGTTAACATGAGTCTAGTTCAGTGCAGTCCTTACTCCAAGGCAAGGGTTCTCACTCATAGTGCTTCACCACCCTGTTGGCTCAACCCAGGTTTGGCTGGGCTAAAATTCCAACATCTCCTCATACTCTGAAGCCTTTGGCATTTCTACTTAGCATGCAATCTCCAAGCAACTGTTCTCTGGTGGGCTTCTTAGAGTATCACCTGAAGCATATGCAGCTTAGGAGTGCAGATTTTGGGGGTTTCTTCTCTGTAGTGACATTGTAGGTGACACTGTACATCATAGTACAATGCATTAATGATATGTTTGTGGTGATGCTGGTGTAAACAAACCTACTGCAGTGTCAATCCTATAAAAGTCTAGCACATACAGTTATGTACAATACATAATCCTTGATAATGATAATAAATGACTATGTTACTGGTTTACATATTTACTATACTTTTTATTGTTATTTTAGAGTGTGCTCCTTCTAATTATTAAAAAAACTTGAAACAGCCTCGGCCAGGTCCTTTAGGAGGTATTCCAGAAGAAGGCATTGTTATCATAGGAGATGGCAGCTCCATGCATGTTATTACACCTGAAAATCTTCCAGTGGGACAAGATGTAAAGGCTAAAGATAGTGATATTGTTGATCCTAACCCTGTGTCGGCCTAGGCTAATTTATGTCTTTTTTTTTTTAACAGAAAAGATTTAAAAGTAAAAAAAAATTAAATAGAAATAAGTTTCTAGAATGAAAATATAAGGAACAATATTTTTGTACAGCTTTGTAACATGTTGGTCTTTTAAGCTAAGTGCTATTACAAAAGCTGAAAAGTTTTAAAAATTAAAGTTTATAAAGTTAAAAAAGTTACATTAAGCTAAGGTTAATTTATTATTAAAGAAAATTATTTTTAAAATCAATTTAGTGTAGCCTAAGTGTACAGCATTTATAAAATCTACAGTAGTGCACAGTAATGGCCTAGGCCTTCAGTTCACTCACCACTCACTTGCTGACTCACCCAGAGCAACTTCCAGTCCTGTAAGCTCCATTCATGATGAGTAACCTATATAGGTGTGCCATTTTAAAAATCTTTTTACCATATTTTTACTGTACTTTTTCTGTTTACATATGTTTAGATCCACAAATACCTACCATTGTGTTACAATTGCCTACAGTACTCAGTATAGTAATGTGCTATCCAAGTTTGTAGCCTAGGAGCAATAGGCTTTATGATATAGCGTAGGTGTGCAGTAGGCTATATCATCTAGCTTTGTGTATGGACACTTTATGATGTTCACGTAAGACCAAATCACCTAAGGACACATTTCTCAGAACCTATCTTATCATTAAGAAAGAATGACTGTATATGTAATGTAAGTCCTTTGAAGTTTAAGCATTTTCACTTTCATATATTTGTCTCATTTAAGAAATATTTTCCATTCCAGCAGTTACAGCTAAAAAAAAAGAAAAAAGAAAAAAAGAAAAATTTTCTTACTCAAATGTTTTAAGGTTATCCTCCTAATAACATTGGTAGTAGTTTTATTTTTTCATATTTGTCTTTACCGCTTATATAATTTTTTGTTTATCTCAAGGTGTAGAGATATAATTTAATCATAGGGTGTTTAGTAAAATATCAATGCTGGGAAAGGGCTTAGGAGATAATGATGAATCAAAACACAGCACAAAGGCCAGGTACTGTGGCTCACTCCTGTAATCCCAGCACTTTGGGAGGCCAAGGAGGGTGAACCACTTGAGCCCAGAGGTTTTAGACCAGCCTGGGAAACATACTGAGACCTCGTCTCTACAAACACATGTCAATCAATGCAGCATAATAGAGAATCTGGAAATAAATCCATATATTTACAGCCAACTGATTCTTGACAAAGGTGCCAAGAACATACATTTGGGGAAAGGACACCCTCTTCAATAAATGGTGCTGGGGAAATTGGATATCCACATGCAGAAGAATGGAATTAGATCCCTATATCTCACCCTATATAAATATCAACTCAAGATGGATTAAATACTTAGACGTAAGACCCAAAACTATAAAACAACTGGAAGCAAACATATGAGAAACATTCTAGGACATTGGTCTGGGTAACGATTTTATGGCTAAGACTTCAGAAGCACAGACAACCCAAACAAAATAGACAAATGGGACTATAATAAACTAAAACGCTTCTGCGCAGCAAAGAAAACCATCAAAAGAGTAGACAGACAACCTGTTGAATGGGAGAAAATATTTTCAAACAATTTATCTGACAAGGGACTAATATCCAGAATATGTAAGGAACTCAAGAGCTAAAAAAACCAAAAAATTCTATTAAAAAGTGGACAAACGACATGAATAGACATTTCTCAAAAGAAGACACACAAATGGCCAGCAGGTACATGAAAAATGCTCAACATCACTTATCATCAGGGAAATGCAAATCAAAACCACAATGAGATATCATCTTACCCCCAGATAGAATGGGTACAACTAAAAAGACAAAAACAAACAAACAAACAAATAGATGTTTGTGAGGACGTGGAGAAAAGGGCACTCTTACACACAGTGTATAAAACTAGTACAGCAACTGTAAAAAACAGTATAGAGAGTTTTCAAAACACTGAAAATAGAATCACTGTATTATCAAGCAATTTTGGGGTGGGGCTGCAGGGTCCTGGAGTTCAGGTTGGCAGAGAGCAGGGCCTGGAGGTGCTTGGGAGGCCGGAGGGGAAGGAAAGAGGCAGATGCCTGGGTCCCAGGGTATCGAAGTGGGGAGGGTCTGGGGCAAGAGGTAAATGGGCGAATTCTTGAGATCCATTGAGAATCCATGGTCAGCCCTTGAGATCCAAAGAAAGGGGTCAGAAGCTTGGGCCAGGCTCACCGCTGAGCTCTTTGTAACCCCTTTGTAACCCATGACCACCTTCAGACTCCCAGCTAAGTAAGTCTTTGACCCTCCAAGAACAACATCTCCTTGGCTGCCAGCAGAGGGACCTGCTCTCTGCCCATGACCCCAGGGCCCCTGGGCCTGGCATGGCAGCTCCTGCTGTCAAAGGCAAAGAAGAGGCAGCCGTCCAGCTAGCCCAGTGCTATGACTGCAGGCTTCCTGGGGGTGGACTCTGATAGGGCCTTAAGATCCTAGCTCAGAAAGCGGGACCCTGAAATTCCCAGGGCTGGGCCCCTTAGCACCTGTATAGCAGCTCTCTTCTCCTCAGAACCCTAGAAACTCTCTCCCACTCTACACACACCTGCACGCACACACATCAACACAAACACACACATTCCTAACAGGATGTTTTCCATTTTTCTCTCCTCCCTGGCTCCTTTCACTCTCTTTCTCCCCCCTTGCCCCCTTCTCTTATGATCCATTTCTTCTCTCTTCTGCTCTCTGGAGGTTCCCTTCTTCCTGGACCGAGGCACTAGGAGCTGCTGTCCCTGGACCCCAGGGTTGGAGGCTAACAGGCTGATTCCTGGGATGAGCAGCCTCTAGCAGCAGGAACAAAGGAGGGGACGGGAGGCCAAGGCCCCATCTGGAGGCTGAGGGACTGGGTCCTGTGGCAGCAAGGATTTGGGGGTGTGTCATCCCCACATCTGATCCCACTGTTTTGCCCTGGAGGCCTCTCTCTGCTCTGAGGCAAAAGTCCAGTCACTCAGTGGTGAGAGGAAATGTCATTGTCAACATGGATTTTGGGAAGCTGAATGGACTCAGAGCCTGACTTGAGACCCGGAGGCTCCTTGAGTGCAGAGCCCTGTCCAGGTGCTGGGAGCAGAGGGAGAGCCTCGGAGGTCCTGGTTGGTGAGAAAGGGGAGCGGGGTCCGGTCCTCTGTCCTCGTCCCTGTGGCCACACGGGGGCGCCGCCGCGCTGCTCTCGCATTCTGATTGAGCGCTCTCAGGCACTGGGTGAGGGCTGAGTGGGGCAGAAGGGGCGGAGCCTGAGGTCATCCACGCGGGAATGCAGGTTCCTCCTAAGCAGCCCTGGAATCCACAGACTCAGGCTAGATTTGCTTGTCTTGCAACGTGAGGCAATTGTGGAGCAGCAAGATCTGGCTCTAGAATTCTCACCGCGAATGCGGTTCTTATAGAATCCAACCTGAATGAGAGGCCAGGGCCTGAGCTGACTGCCCTGGGCACACCTGGCTTTGATGGGGTTGCCAAAATATAACTGGCACTTACAGAAATTTCAATGATTGTCGAAAAGTCCATATAATTATATACAATTTCATTTCTGATGTCTCTGGCTGTGCCTTTGAAAGGGCATAAAGAGCCATGGAAAGAGGCTGAAAGGCTCCTCTGGGAATTTTCAAATCCCTTTTCATAGCAGCAACTTGGTCTAGCCCAGTGCTATGACTGCAGGCTTCCTGGGGCTGGACTCTGATAGGGTCTTAAGGTCCTAACTAAGAAAATGGGACCCTGGAACTCTCAGGGCTGGGCCCTGAAGAAACACAGGGAGAAGGATCTGGAGGCGCAACCCTCCCTTCTGATCAGCACGGGCAGGGCTGTCTGAGCGCGTTTCCCCTCTGTGTTCAGCAGGATCGACTTTGCAGTGAGGCGCAGCCCCTGTCTCCCTGGGGGCCTCAGGTCCACACATCCTTCCACTGCCGCATGTCAGAAGCATCTGTTTCCTTTATTTTGTTTTCCACAGACTTCTTTCTTTTTTCTGTCCTTGACCACTAATACAACACAGGCAAGATCCTATAAGACCAGGTAAAAGATGTTACTGATAATAGTGAAGGCATGGTTGTGAAGGGACAATGGCAGATACAGACAGAGCCAGAGACAAAACAGAAAGGCAGAACAGAGATAGAAACACACACAGAAAATGAACATCCATCCGTCCATCCAACCATCCATCCATCCATGCATTCATCCATGCATGCATCTGTCTGCTCTCTACCTTTCTATCTCCTTACAAGGGAGGTACATCAACACTTTTACATTCATTTCCCAACAAAAATCACAAGATTTTCCTTGTCGGCTCACACCTGCCCTCCTTCATCCAGCCAACTGATGTGTTTGCTGAGGTCTTGCCACATGCCACACTGGGTGCTGAGCTTTGGGGTCTGAACAGTAACAGACCTCTGTGATGCACTCACACGGGGCCCTTTACTGTCCTGTCCTTGGCTATGAGACATCCTCATGTCCCTGAAGCTCTTCTTTCTGCTTCTTGGATAAAGTCCCTGACCACCTCCCTACTGGCACCCAGGAGACTCTGACATCCTGGAACACCAGTATCTTTCATCAAACACTGACTTACAGCATTTATCCTGTGTCTGTCACTCACTACATACCCTTTTGATGATTTTCTCATTTAGAGATTGTTAAAAAAGGATGTGATTGTAACCTCAGACAAGTGTAATAGAATAGTAAAATAAGGAACTCTGTGAAAAGGGCTTTTTCTGCTTTCTCCCAGAACATCTCATTTGCATCTGTGTTTGGCTGGATGAAAAGTGGCTTCCATATCCCCTGACATAATGCAACAAGCAGAAACACTTGCTCAGTAAACAAGTACTTCGGAAAATGCAGGGTCTTGAACACTGCCCTCAGGGCTCCACACATCAGAAGGACATATATATCTTTCCTTCAACCCCAGAGATGCCCAGGGGCTGCATGTTGGCTCCTCACTGGTCTTACTCATGTCCTACTGGAAGAGGACGGTGCTTCTCTGGAAATGTCAGAGTGGTGTGGGACAGCCAGTTCCTCTGTGTGCCCTGCAGGAAAACAGACAATTCAGCTTTTCAATCCCACTCAGTATCTGAAAATAAACTGGGTTTTCAATGTATTCCCCTCCAGAGAGTAAATTGCGGAGGAAACATGTTCAAACGCACACTTAATTATTTTCCGAGTCAAGAATGTAAGTATGAGGCCCTTTAAGACGAGTTAAGAGAAGTTCCTGACCTCAAATTTCATGTGGAAGTTATAAGATGGAGCTGGAAGCATCTGTCCTTACCTCTGGGTATAAAGTTGGGACCCCGCGGGAGGCAGTCAGCCACAGTTAGGGCACCAAGCAAACCCTCAGGAAGGACTCGGTCCACGCAGGAGCCTCCCTAAGCAGCTTCTCCCTGAAGAAAACCTGAAGTCTTAGAAATCCAAGAAGAACAAAGATATTCATGTCTCTGATAAGGAAAATGAAATGCCAGCAATCCAGCACTGAGAAGGGAAGCTACGAGACCACATTTTCTGCACGTGGAGAAGACATGTTTAATGGAGAGGTGGGAACTTGTCTCAAAAGTGTTGCGCTGCCGTGAGAACGTGTGGTCATCACTGCCACCACCCGCTGCTCGCTCAGTGGCCTCTGCCCATTGTAACTAATGGGCCAATGAATAGAAACACTTTTCACCTTCCTCTCCTGCAATAAGGCTATTAAAATAAATCATCTCCTCTGGTTGATTTTTCACTTAGGGAAAAAATAACTGGGGTAATGCATGCCCGTAGACCAGGTTTTAAAGAAGTTCTCAGAAAACCCTGAGACAGTCTCCAGAAGGCTCATCCAGCAGAAACGAGGCCTTGCACTTCTGCCATCCCGTGTGTCACCATGATGGAGTTTGCCCAGCTAGGGATGGCAAGAGGCCAAGTCATCACAGGTGATCTGCAGGCCTGGTGAGGAAGGACAATGACAGACGGGAAGGAGGAAATGCACACACACGACCAGACCTCCTGCCATTCCTTTGTCCATTGGTCTTGCTCTGTCTTTCACTCTCTGAAATTTTGTTGTCATGAGTCTTGGTGTGGGTCTGTTTCCATCTCCTGTATTGAGAACTTTGTTGCAGCCATTCACACTATACATTTTTGTCAGTAGCCTTCAAAACATTTTCTTGAATTACTTTTAATTACTTTCTATGGTTATTGGAACTTATATTATGAGACTGCTGGAATTCCTTAATTGATAGTATAATATTCTTAAAGTTCTATCATGCTTGGCATCACGTTTTTATTTTGTACTACCTTGCAGCACACAACTTTCATTTCAGTTCATTTTTTAAACTCTTTATTTCAATGATCATATTTTAAAATTCCAGAGCTCTTTCTAGTTCTCTGCATGAAATTGTTTATAAATTTGTTCAAATCTCATAACTGCTGTTTTCTTACATCTTTCACACATAATTGGTAATAGTGGTAGGGACCCATTAGGTCTCCTTGTAACCTGCTTTCATGATATCACAAACTTTTCCCTTACGCTCATTAGCAATTTCACAATCTTGGGGCAATTTTTGCTAAATATTTATCTTCCTTACAATATTGAAAACTCCCCATCTCCAAGATTTTACTCTTGCTCTTCATTATATCCTCAAGTGCTTAGCAGATCTCCTGATCACTGGAAATACACCCTGGATGAACGGACTTCTGCGTGAATTTGGCAGTTAAGTCATTGCCCTTCTTGTCTTCCTGAGCTCTGAGCCAGTGGCCTCCTGTCCATAGAACATTCTGGGACATCAAAACAGTTCACTTGTGTAAGGTGCAGATGAAGAGAGAATCAATGGAAGACAAGTCAACAAGGCCTCTGAGAGAAAATCTCCAGGGTTCAACCCTAGCCCCACCACCTTCTTTACCTCTCTCCTTCCCTGTCTGTACAAAGGATCACATATTGAGTTCCCCATGGGTTTGCATTGAGGATTAAATCTGACTCTCTATGTAAAGCCATGGCATTATTTTCTGAGTCATACTAAATGCTCCATTATTGATAACTATCATCACTATATTCATTACAATCTTTGGGTTATTTCCATTATTTTGCTTTTATAAACCACAAT
Organism: Homo sapiens; assembly: GCF_000001405.40. Taxonomy (NCBI): domain Eukaryota; kingdom Metazoa; phylum Chordata; class Mammalia; order Primates; family Hominidae; genus Homo; species Homo sapiens. The sequence continues at coordinate 1,737,207 of NT_167247.2, read as the reverse complement.
TCAAGGAACATTCTTATATATGTGGTTTTTTTGTTTTTGTTTTGGGACAGAGTCTCGACCTGTCACCCAGGCTGAAGTGCAGTGACATGATCGCAGCTCACTGCAACCTCCACCTCCCGGGTTCAAGCAATTCTTCTGCCTCAGCCTCCCGAGTAGCCGGAACCACAGGTGTCTGCCACCACGCTCGGCTAATTTTTGTAGTTTTTAGTAGAGACGGGGTTTCACCATGTTGGCCAGGCTGATCTTGAACTCCTGACCTCGTAATCCACCTGCCTCGGCCTCCCAAAGTGCTGGGATTACAGGCATGAGCCACCGCGCCCGGCCTATATATGCGTTTTTAGAAAGATATGTAATTATTTCCTTGGGATAAATTCCTAAAAGAGAAATTTTCATGTCAAAATGTCAGAACACTTAGGCCCGGCGCAGTCCCTCACCCCTGTAATCCCAGCACTTTGGGAGACCAAGGCGGGTGGATCACTTGAGGTCAAGGATTTGAGATGAGCCTGGCCATCATGGTGAAACCCCATTTCTACTAAAATTACAAAAATTAGCTGGGCGTGGTGGCACGCACCTGTAGTCCCAGCTACGCGGGAGGCTGAGGCAGGAGAATCGCTTGAACCCAGGAGGTGGAGGCTTCAATAAGTCAAGATTGTGCCACTGCACTCCAGCCTGGGCGACAGAGCAAGACTCTGTCTCAAAAACGTCAGAACATTTAAATTATTGAGACATTTTGCAAAAGTGCCCTTTAGAAGTTTTGTACCACTTTTCAATGCCATCAGTCTTCGTAACAGTACATTTTCCCTGTACTCTGATCAATACTACCATCATTTACTTCTGTCTTTGCCAAGCTGATGGATTTTAATTCTGGTTCCCATTTTGTAGTCTACATTCTTATTTTTTGCACATATTTATTACTAATATAACTATATGACATTTCTTAATCATTTCTCAAACGTAATGCTGATATTTTTAAATATTGAATTTAATCAAGAAAAAGCAGCCCCTAATATCTGGGAACTTGTCTGGCACAGCTGGGCATCAGTGTTGCCAGGAGCTGGTCTGGTCTTCACTACTGGGCCATATTAGTCCCTCTGGGACATAAATTATATCACAAAATACCAACACCACACTGGATCACTCTCAGCCCATGAGAAAGTGAGGCGAAACAAAAGTACTTCATAATTTTGTCTAAACCCTCTCCCGGCTAGTATGAGTGGCTGATGCTTCTCTACGGATTAAGCTTTATCTGCACTCTAGTCCACCCTCCCTAAAGGTAAGATTTATTGAAATACCGAATTGTAGAATTGCCTCTGCTTACTGACAGTACTAAATCTAGAGCAATAAAATAAAATAGAATTTCTCAACTGTGTTATCTGTATTTTCTTTTTTTCCTTATTCTCATGCTCTGGCATCTGAGTCCTCACTGATTGTGAGGACTCCCCTCCCAAGACTAGTCTATTCCTACAGATACTAAAGGGATTGACCGCAAATGCGCCTTTCTTATGCAAACTAACCAAACCAGAGCCCAAACTCAGAATGAGTTCTTTTTTTCTGGCTGTCACATGGCCCCGATACTCCCAGTCAATATTCTCCTGTCTTAATAATCTGAGAGACAGGTATCAGACAACTAGAGACAATCCCCATGCCTCAGAGTCACCAAGATTATTCAGACTCATCAATACTGAACATGTCTACACTGCTTACCCTGCCTTGCTCATTCATTCCCCTAAAAACCACATTAGAGGCTCTCGCCCATGCTTTCCCCTCCCGTTGCCACTTGACCAGCCTTGGTGCTGCCTGTTGTGCTGTGCTTCCTATGTCAGTGGGTAATAAACTCTTTTTTCAGTGGCATAGACCTCTCTGTGTCATCATTCAGTCATAACTACTAATTAATTAAATCCCAGGGAAACTTGAAATACCAGCTGAAGCCCAAATATTATAATAGGCTCTATCTAAAAGGCACTTACCAAGATACTCGGTAGTTATCCAAGGTGTGCATTCTCCCTCCCACTGCAGTGAGTAATAAACCCAACTTCTTCACCCACAGATGTGCTCCAGGTGGCCTTGGGCTGAAGGGTATTAACACATTGTTACTATTTTGTCCATCAACTGTTTACATGTCTTTGAGGTTGATTATGGGAAAGTGTTTGTACATTTCTGTGTTTGTGGATGCCAAAGAGATTTTTTTTAATTTGTAAGTAGTCAAAATGATTATCATCATTCTTCATCACTTTTCACATTTTGGTCATGCTTAGAACATCTGCACTCCAGAGTTGTGAAAACTTCATACATATTTGACCTAGGAAGAGACGATGAGGAAAGGGGTCCGAGAGTTGAAGGACATAGAATTGTTTCAAGTTGTGGAAAAGTAAAGATTACTAATGCGATGGGATTGTAAGGTTTAATTATTTTATAATTTTTGAAATGTGTCTACTGGGTCTGTAGGGTACTTAATATATGTGGTATCCAATAAATACAACTTAGGATGAGTACTCAAGACTTATTTGCCTTCTTACATTCACCAAAGTAAAGAAAATATTATGCCAGATTTCCAGTGAAATATAGACATGGATTGGCAACAGTGATGTGCATTTATGAAGACTTGATACTATGAACTGATAATTCATATTTTGGTTGATGTCTATACACTGTAGTTGTTCAAATACACATTAATTAAACTTTCTTGGGCATGCTATATTTCAATGATATGTCTGAGACCCATATAGACAAATTCATGGCTTCCATATGAAGACAACTTTGATATATTCAATCTATGAGTGACATGGTATACTTTTAGGGAGATTAAAAACTAAGATACTCTGGTATGCACTATCAAATTTCATTGGAGATGTGGTTACTTGAGCTGTGGTGGCTACACTTGCGATGAAGCGGAAGAAGAGCTCTGGTATGTAAGGACTGGGATCTGCATTGTCATGTTCCATTCTGCATTGATAATAAAATGTACCCCACATACCCCGCCCCCCACCACACACACAGACACACACACACAAAACACAAACACTCATGCTTACCCAGTCATAGTCCCTGCTTGCTGAAATTTCTGTAACGTAAAGCACTTGTGAAAATAAAGGACCAGTCATCACCTTGATGATTCTAGAGATGGGGACCCGATTCCCAGAAGTCATAGGTCAGAAGGGAAAGACTGCTGAGGACAGACCTCCAGTCACCCAAGAGGGAAGGTGGTCCAGCCCCTGCACGTCTCCTGTCCTTGTTTTCCTGATCCTGCCCTGGGTATGGTTATAGAGTCGAATAGATAAATTGAACTTCATCAAACCAAAACTTTTATGCATCAGAGAACACTATCAATACAGTGAAAAGGCAATCCATACAATGGCAGAAAATATTTGCCTATTACATATCTCATATGGGTCAAGTGTTTGGATACACAAAGAACCCTTTAAACATCAATAACAAAATGACAAATAATCCCATTACAAAATGGGCAAAGAAATTGAAAAGTCATTTCTTCAAAGAAGATACATAAACCGCCAATATACACAGGAAAAGATACTCAACATCATTAGCCATTAAAGAAATGCAAATTAAACCACAATAATATGGCTATAATAATAATTTTTTTAAAATGAAAATAAATGTTAGGAAAGATAAGCAGAAATTAGAACCCTCATACCACTATATTTTATGGAAATATAAAATGGCCAGCTGAGGTTCTTATTTGGTGGAAGCATTTCTTTCCTGGGAAATCCACTAAGCCCAAGGTTGCAGAGATGTGAAGCAGAAATTTTAAAAGTAATTAATAGGTGTAATTGTACAAGAATATTTATTAACATAATAAATTATCTCAGCTTTTTTAGTCAAAATAACTCCTATAACTTTGTTCATCTTTTTAGAAATTACTTAAATTGTACTGACTATGATAACATGCCTGTAGTCTCAGCTACTCAAGAGACTGAGATGGGAGGACACCTTGAGCCCAGGAGTTCAAGACTAACCCGGACAACATAGCAAAACTTGTCCTGAAAAAAAATGAAAAATTAGCTGCACATGGTAGTGCATGACTGTAGTCTCAGCTACCTGGGGGCTGAGGTGGATGGATCCCTTGAGCCCAGAAGTTAGAAGCCAACATGGGGTAATATAGAAAGACTCTTTCTCTAAAATTTTTAAAAAATAAATTGCATGAGTTATTCTAGACCTTTTATGTTTTCATATAAATTTGTAAATCAGCTCATAAATTTCTATCAAAAAGCCTCCTAGAATTTTGTTAGTTTTTTTTTAAATCTCTGGGTTAATTTGGGGAGTGTTGCATTTTAACAATGTTAAATCTTGCTCCCCATGAACAGGGGATCTATTTATTTAGGTCTTCTATGTACTCTTTCCACAGTGTCTCTTGATTTCTAGTGTCTTGGATTTCAGAGATCTTAAATATTTTTTGTATGATTTATTTATTTTCTTTGTTGTTGTTGTTTTTGTTGTTGTTTGCCCTATGAAGTTTTATTTTATTTCAATAGTTTTTTGGGGTACAGGTGGGTTTTGGTTTAATGGATGAGTTCTTTAGTGGTGAATTCTGAGACTTTAGTGCACCTGTCACCCAAGCAATATACACTGTACCCAATATGTAGTCTTTTATCTCACTCCCCTCTCAGCCTGTCCCTTGAGTCCCCAAAGTCCATTATATCGCTCTATATGTCTTTGCATCCTCCTAGCTTAGCTCCCACTTATAAGTGAGAACATACAGTATTTGGTTTTCCATTCCTGAGTTACCTCACTTAGAATAATGGCCTCCATCTCCATCTAGGTTGTTGCAAAACACATTATTTTGTTCCTTGTTATGGCTAAGTAATACTCCATGGTGTACATATACCACATTTTCTTTGTCCACTTGTTGGTCGATGGACACTTACTTTGTTTTCATGTCATTGCAATCGTGAAGTGTGCTGCTGTAAACATGCACGTGCATGTGTCGTTTTCATATAATGACTTCCTTTGGGTAGATATCCAGCAGTGGGATTGCTGGATTGAATGGTAGATCTACTTGCAGTTCTTTAAATAATGTCCATACTGCTTTCCAAAGTGGTTTTACTAATCTACATTCCCACCAGCAGTGCAAAAGTGTTCCCTTTTCACCACATCCACACAAACATCTACTGTGGTTTTTAAAAATTTTTTAATTTTTGCAGGAGTAAGGTGGTATCTTGTACTTATAATTTGCATTTCCCTGATGATTAGTTATCTTGAGCAATTTTTCATGATTGTTGGCTATTTGTATATCTTCTTTTGAGAACTGTCAATTCATGTCCTTTGCCCAGTTTTTGATGGGATTATTTGTTTTTTTCTTGCTGATTTCTTTGCGTTCCTTGTAGATTCTGGATATTAGTCCTTTGTTGGATGTATAGTCTGTGAATATTTTCCCCTACTGTGTGGGTTGTCTGTTTACTCTGCTGATTATTTCTTTTGCTGTGTAGAAGCTTTATCATTCAACCAGGTCTCATTTATTTATTTTTATTTTTGTTGTGTTTGTTTTCGGGGTCTTAGTCATGAATTTTTTGCCTAAGCCAATGTCCAGAAGAGTTTTTTAATGTTATCATGTTATCTTCTAAGATTTTTATGGTTTTAGGTTTTAGGTTTTAGGTTTAAGTCTTTGATCCATTTTGAGTTGACATTTATATAAAGTGAGAGATGGAGATACAGTTTCATTCTATATGTGGCTTGCCAGTTTTCCCAGCACTCTCTATTGAATAGGATGTGCTTTTCCCAATTTATGTTTTTGTATGCTTTGTCAAAGATCAGTTAGCTGTTGGCATCTGGCTTTATTTCTGGATTGTCTATTCCATTCCATTGGTCTAAGCGCCTATTTTTTATTTTATCTTATTTTGAGATGGAGTTTCACTCTTGTTGCCCAGACTGGAGTGCAATGGCACGATCTCAGCTCATTGCAACCTCTGCCTCCCAGGTTCAAGTGATTCTCCTGCCTCAGCCTCCTAAATAGCTGGGATTACAGGTGCCCACCACCACGCCCAGATAATTTTTTTTGTATTTTTAGTAGAGATGGTGTTTTATCATGTTGGCTAGGCTAGTCTCGAACTCTTGACCTCAGGTGATTTGTCTGCCTCTACCTCCCGAAGTGCTGGGATTACAGGCGTGAGCCACCGTGCCCAGCTGAAGTGCCTATTTTATACCAGTATGATGCTGTTTTGGTAACGATAGCCTCGTAGTGTAACTTGAAGTCTGTTAATGGGTCGCTTCCAGATTTGTTATTTTTGCTTAGTATTGCTTTGGATACGTGGGCTCTTTTTTGGTTCCACATGAATTTTGGGGTTGTTTGCTCCAGTTCTGTGAAGAATGATGATGGTATTTTGATGAAAATTGCACTGAATCTATAGATTGCTTTGGGCAGTATGGTCATTTTCACAATATTGATTCTATTCATCTATGAGCATGGGATGTGTTTCCATGTGTTTGTGTCATCTATGATTTCTTTCAGCAGTGTTTTTTAGTTTTCCTTGCAGAGATCTTTCACCTCCTTGGTTAAGTATATTCCTAGGTTTTGGGGGGTGTTGTTTTTTTGGAGGTTTTTGTTGTTGTTGTTGTTGTTTGTTTTTGCAGCTGTTGTAAAAGGGATTGAGTTCTTGATTTGATTCTCACTTGGTCGTTGTTGGTGTATAGCAATGCTCCTGATTTGTGTACATTGATTTTGTGACCTGAGACTTTACTAAATTTGTTTATCAGATCTATGGGTCTTTTGGATGAGTCTTAGTATTTTCTAGGTATACGATCATATCATCAGTGAACAGGGACAGTTTGACTTCCTCTTTTCTAATTTGGATGCCCATTATTTCTTTCTCTTGCTTGATTGCTCTGGCTAGAACTTGCAATACTGTGTTGAATAGAAGTGGTGCACGTGGGCATCCTTGCCTTGTTTCAGTCCTTGGAGGAATGCTTTCAACTTTTCCCCATTCACTATGATGTTGGCTGTGAGTTTGTCATATATGACTTTCATGACTTTGAGGTAAGTCCCTTCTATGCCTATTTTGTTGAAGGTTTTTATCATAAAGCAATGCTAGATTTTATCAAATGCTTTTTCTGCATCTATTGAGATAATCATATGATTGTTGTTTTTAATTCTGTTTATGTGGTGTATCACATTTATTGACTTGCATATGTTAAACCATCTCTGCATCCCTGGGATGAAACCCACTTCAACATGGTGTATTATTTTTTTGATAGGCTACTGGATTTGGTTAGCTAGTATTGTGTTGAACATTTTTGCATGTATGTTCATTGGGGATATTTGTCTGTATTTTTCTTTTTTGTTATGTCCTTTCCTACTTTTGGCATTAGGGTGATACTGTCTTCATAGAATGATTTAGGGAGGATTCCCTTTTTCTCTATCTTTTGGAATAGTTTCAGTAGGATTGGTACCAATTTTTTGAATGTCTAATGGAATTTGTCTGGGAACCCATCTGGTCCTAGGCTTTTTTTTGTTGACAGTTTTTTTTATTACTGTTTCAGTCTCACTGCTTGTTATTGGTCTGCTCATGATTTCTATTTCTTCCTGATTTAGTCTAGGAGGGTTGTATGTTTCCAGGAATTTATCAGTTTTTAGATTTTCTAGCTGGTGTGTGTAAAGGTGTTCATAGTAGCCTTGAATTAACTTTTGTGTTTCTGTGGTATTAGTTGTAATATCTCCAGTTTGTTTTCTAATTGAGCTTATTTGGATCTTCTCTCCTTTTCTTGGTTAACCTCACCAATGGTCTATTGATTTTGTTTACCTTTTCAAAGACCCAACTTTTTTTTCATTTATCTCTTGTATTATTTTTGTTTCAGTTTCATTTATTTCTGCTCTGATCTTTATTATTTCTTTTTTATGCTGGCTTTGGGTTTCATTTGTTTTTATCTCTCCAGTTCCTTGAGGTGTGACATTAGGTTTTCAATTTGTGCTTATTCAGATTTTTTTTTTCCTTCCCAGATGAAGTCTCACTCTGTTGCCCAGGCTGGAGTGCAGTGGCGCAATCTCAGCTCACTGCAACCTCGACCTCCTGGATTCAAGTGATTCTCCTTCCTCAGCCTCCTGAGTAGCTGGGATTAAAGGCGCGTGCCACCACGCCTAGCTAATTTTTGTATTTTTAGTAGAGACAAGGTTTCACCATGTTGGTCAGGCTGGTCTCAAACCCCTGACCTTAACTGATCCACCTGCCTCAGCCTCTCAAAGTGCTGGGATTACAGGCATAAGCCACTGTGCCCGGGCTCTTTCAGGCTTTTTTAAGTCAGCACTTATTGCTATGAACTTTCTTATTTTCACTGCTTTGGCTATATCCCAGAGATTTTGATTACTTGTGACACTATTATCATTCATTTCAGAGAATTTTTAAATTTCCATCTTGATTTCATTGTTAACTGAAAAATCATCCAAGAATAGGTTATTTAATTTCCATGTACTCATACAGTTTTTAAGTTTCATTTTGGAGTTGATTTCCAGTTTTATTCCACTCTGGTCTGTGAAGATACTTTATAGGATTTCAGTTTTCTTAAATTTGTTTAGACTTGTGTTGAGGTCTATCATATGGTCTATCTTGGAGAATGTTCCATGTGCTGATGAGAAGAATGTATATTCTACAGTTACTGGGAAGAAATGTTCTGTAAATATCTGTTAAGTCCATTTGTTGTAGGATATGGTTTAAGATCATTGTTTCTTTGTTGACTTTGTGTCTTGATGATCTGTCTAGAGCTATCAGTGGAGTATTGATGTCCCCTGCTATTATTGTCTTGCTGTCTATCTCATTTCTTAAGTCTAGTAGTAACTGTTTTATAAAGCTGGGAGCTCCACTGTTAGGTGCATATAAATTTAGGACTGTGATATCTTCTTGTTGGAATTATCATTCTATCATTATATAATGTCCTTCTTTGTCTTTTTTTTTTTTTTTACTGTTGTTGCTTTAAAGTCTGTTTTTGTTTTGTATAAGAATAGCCACTCCTGCTCTCTTTTAAGAAAATGTAGTGCATATACATCATGGAATACTATGTGGCCATAAAAAAGAATGAGTTCTTGTCCTTTGCGGAACATGGATGGAGCTGGAGGCCATTATCCTTAGCAAATTAATGCGGGAAAAGAAAACCGAATACCACATGTTCTCACTTATAAGTGGGAGCTAAATGATGAGAACACATGGACATATAGAAGGGAACTGCACACACTGGGGCCTACCAGAGAGTGGAGGCTGGGAGGAGGGAGAGGATCAGGAAAAGTAACTAATAGGTACTAGGCTTAATGCCTAGGTAACAAAATAATCTGTACAGCAAACCCCATGATACAAGTTTACCTATATAATAAACCTGCACATGTATGCCTGAACTCAAAATATAAGTTAAATCAATAAAAAATTATTTTAAAATGATCGGCGGTCCCACCTGCCCAAAGGCTGTGCTGGGAGCTCTCTGGTCCCACCAGGCACTGGCACCCTGCACCACACCACATGCAGCAGGGCTAGCGACACACCCTCAGGCCAGCCAAGGCCATGGCCACTCTACCTATGATTTTCTATGTGGGTATTCAGCTTTGATGAGTGTCTTACATCTATAAGCTAAAATTCTTCATCAAATTTGGGAATCTTTCAGCCATAGATTTTTTTGAATTTTTTTTCTGATCCTGTGTCTATCTTCTTTTGGGACTCCAATTGGTCACCTGTTTACCTGCTTTATATTTTCTGAGGGTTTGTGAAGTTTTCTTCACTTTTCTTTAATCTTATTTCACTCTTTTTTATTTTTAGATTAGACAATTTCTGTTGATTTATATTCAAGGACACTGACTGATTCTTTATTCTGCCATCTCAAAACTTCTGTTGACCTCATCCAGAGCACTGTCATTATTTTTCTATCCAGTTTGAGAATTTCCACTTAGTACCATCTATAGTTTTCATTTCTCTGCTGCAATTACTTCTATTCACTCTTTAGAAATGATATTTCCTTCATTTCTTTCCACATATTTTTCAAAACTGTCTTAAAGAGTTTGCTGATAATTTCAATATCTGGACCCATTGAAACCCATTTATTTTTAATTTCCTCCTTATTATAGTCACACATTTCTTTCTTTTCTTTCTATGTCTGATCCTATTTGATAAAGTGGACATTATATGTTTTGTTTTAGAGAGTCTGGAATCTACAACAATCTCTCTAAAGATGGCAATTCTCCCACCACCACCACCCCTGCCCCTCAGTGAACGTGGTTAACTTTCCCTGCACTGGTAACTGTGAAATCTGTTACCCCTGCAGTTGGCTACAGCTGATGTCTCTGCTCTGTTTACCGATATCCAGTTGCTGCATTTTCAGCAGGGGGCTCTGGGTGTCTACTCTGCATCTTTGTAATATTTGTCCCTGCCAAACCTCATGTTGAAATGTAATCCCCAATGCTGCAGGTGGGGCCTAGTGGAAGCTGTTTGGGTCATGGGGGTAGATCCCTCATGAATGGCTTGGTGCCCTCCCCACAGTCATAAGTAAGTTCTCTTCGCTTTATTATTATTATTATTATTATTATTATTATTATTTTGAGACAGAGTCTCGCTCTGTTGCCCAGCCTGGAGAGCAGTGGTGCGATCTTGGCTCACTGCAACCTCCACCTCCTGGGTTCAAGTGATTCTTCTGCCTCAGCCTCCTGAGTAGCTGGGACTACAGGCACATGCCACCATGCCAAGCTAATTTTTGTATTTTTAGTAAGGATGGGGTTTCACCATATTGGCCAGGCTGGTCTCGAACTCCTGACCTCGTGATCCACCCGCCTCGGCCTCCCAAAGTGCTGGGATTACAGGCATGAGCCACCACATCCGGCCCCTGCTCTATTATTTTGAAAGAGAGTTGGTTGTTTAGAAGAATCTGGCTCCTCCCACCCTGTTCCTCTTTTGCCATGTGACATGCCTGGTCCCCCTTCCCCTTCCACCAGGAGTAAAAGGCTCCTGAGGTCTCACCAGAAGCTGAAGAGATGCTGGTGCCATGTTTGTACAACCTATATAGCCATGAGCCAAATAAACCTCTTTTCTTTATAAATTACCCACTCTCAGGTATTTATAGCAACACAACATGGACTAACAAGTACTGGGGCTATTTCTGCTAAGATTTTGCAATTCAGCTTCTCTGTGTTTGTTTTGCTTCTGGAATCCCCTCTAAATTGTCCTGCATCCTGCCTTTTCACCCCTCAGTCCAGTAAGATTTTTGCTTTCTTCTGCCTGTGTTGTATGCAGGTTGACAAATGCAAGCAGTCTATGTTACTGCAGACTTTCAGATATTGCCAGGATTATTTCACTCTTTCAAGGGTAGACCTCACTCTAGGTTCTTTCTGATTTTTCCCCAGGTTCCCCTGAGTGTCCCACACCCATGGGGAGTTTAGTGTTCAACCAGGGATGTGAGCATAGTTTGTATTCAGATTTTGAATCTGAATTCTTCAGCAGATCTCTTTCAAAATTGCCTGACTGATGTAAACATGTAAAAATGTAAACATTTTTAGCTTATTTGGGCTTTTAACTCTATAAACTGCCCTATTGATCCATTAGGGCTGCAGTTACCTGCTGGGAGTTTGGAGCAAACTCATAGGTAAGGAGGAAAGGCCACCAACTTGCAGCTTTTACCCAATAGATAGTCTCAAGATCAAAGCACTATTACATTTCTGCTCGCCTTTGTTTGTTTTCCAGTGACTTCAAATATTTATTTTTATGATTTTGTCCAGTTCTCATATTGCTATTTAGAGGAAGACTTGCTGATCTACCTGTTCATGTTGCCATTACCAGAAGTTCTGTCCTAAAAGAGACTTTTGGGAGAAAATGTCACAGCTCACAATTCAATTTTGTGAGACAAATAAGGATCCAGACACCAGAGATTCCTTGTTCAGGTTTTTCAAATTGAAGTAAGTTGAGGCCTTCTGTTTGTAACCCCAAATTTCTAAAAGAATCGCTGACTTCATATGACCCCCAATGATAAAGAAGGACACTCTACATAGATTGGACTCATTACTATTTAAGACAGCACATTCCATACCTAGGAAATTTCTGACTCTGTAAATCAAGTCACCAATGCTGCAGTTAAATTTGAGTGGAGGCCAAGGAAGTAGTTCAGTTAAGTGTGAAACAAGCACTGCCCCTCTCCCCTACCCTCTCTTAAAATCATGCAATCACATGTGTCTTCATTCAATCCTACAGCTGATTGGAAGCTGTTGGAAATGAGACTCCCTCATTATTCAGGCCCTGGGCTTTTCAACTCAAGGAATTCCTCCAAGATTGGAGTACAAGCTCTTTGAAAAATAACTGCACCGGTGTTATTAAACGTTAATGAAGATAAATAATTTCAACAAAGAAAAAATGTGATTTCTTATCTTGTGAGGGGATTTCTCTGCACCAAAATCCGGTAAGTTAGTACAAGTTCAAAACATTCCATAAGAAATGGAAATGTCATTCTGATCCAGGCAGGCATCAAACATATCTGCCATTTGGCCTAAATGCTTCCTTGGATATGTGTGTGTGTGTGTGTGTGTGTGTGTGTGTGTGCGCGCGTGTGTGTGTGTGTGCGCGTGTGTGTGTGTGTGTGTGTGTGTGTGTGAAACAGGCATAGGAGCTCACTGCTCAAGTTCCAGGGCTTCGAAGAAAAGCTTTATTCTTTATTCTTCTACTAAATAACAGTTCCTGGCTTGCTACTGAGCCCTGGTAGATTCTGAATGCCATGATCATGATACAGCAAATGACCAAGTGACTTGAGATGTCCACCATGACCTGGATTTTATTTATTCACTTATGGTCACCAGCACTCAGTGAGCATTCAGGAGGAAGTGGATATATATACTGTATATACATACAGTATCAGACCTGAGCTGGTCCTTAGCAAGGCCAGCTAAGTTGCCTCATAATATGTACTATATTCCTAGTATTCTTATTACCACTGGTAAATCCACTCTCCCTTGTCTCATCCTTGGGGTCTTGAGGAGTTCCCTAAGGACTGTTGACTATAGAAGAAGAAATTTGAATATGCTTTGAATACCCAAAAGTGTACTTTGCAGCATTACAGCCCTTTTTAGGAATTGTCATAAAGAAGAGTGGAAAGGAAAGTACCTCCAGCAGGAAGATTTTCAATCAGACCATCTGGAAGTTCATTTTGCCTAAAGAAATATCTTATTGTTAGATCCTCATCAATGCATGGGTAGTGACTAATAGTTTGCTCAGGTATTCAATGACTTCAAAGGAACAAGATGGGAAGGTTTGTGATAAGGAGCTTTAAGGATAAGGTGTGAACCACTAATGTGGCATATTAGGTATCTACGCCTACTCTCATGCTAACAAAAAATGGGTTATCAAAAGATAAAATACATCATAAAAGCACTGAGAGGCTTTCACATCAGTGAAAACTGTCTAATAAATATCAGGAAGCTCTGAATTTACTTTTATCCTGAGCTCATTTGCTCAATGTAGACAAGTTAAGCTTTAGTTTCCATGGCCTCATAAGGAATTTGGAATAGGAGGCAAGTCTCAAGTAGCACTCAAAGTGGGAAATCTCCTAGGATGATCTCCTCCATTTTGCTGGGACCCCTAAGTTCAGTTCCTCGGTGTAAGAGAAATGCCCCATGCTCAAAGGACTGCAGGAACAGCTGCCTTGGTGCTGAGTGGAACTGGGAGTAAACATAATGGCCCCACACATGTATTTGCAGCCCAAGTTCTCACTACCTGGATTGTCTGGCAATCATCAAGTTGTGAATTCAGTTTATAGTGGGCCAGGCTCCAAGGAACCTGTCAAAAAACAAACGCAAATAACACGCAAAACAAACACAAATCCTCTCTGGAGGAAGATGTCATCAACCACACTTAAAATTTCCTAAAATTATTCCATAAGCAAAATGAGCACTTACCAGGAAAACAACAACAAAACTATTTACAAGATACAAGTCACCATGAAAGATCAAGCAGAAACACCATACAGCAGAATAATAAGAATAAGACATAAAATAGCCCTGCTTCCTGTGATTAAAAAACAGGCTTTAAAAGACTTCCAGTTAATCAGAAACTACAAATAATGTTCAGGAAAAATTGAAAAGACAAATATAAAACATTTAGAAATGAAATACATGATAATATAAAAATCAAGTCTCAATGGATTTTTTCCAAGCAAAGACAATTTGACACAAACACGCTTTTACTGAAGGGAGTTCTAAAGAATATGCTTCAGGCAAAAGGCGAAATCCTGGTTGGAAGATACAAGATAAAAGAAAACATAAATACAAAATAAAAATCAAAAATGAAAGTAAATGTGTGGTTAAATTTAAATTAAGGTGAGGTTAAAAAGGACAGCATATGAGTTTTGAGGGAATATATAGTTAGTTAAAATCTATATCCATTCTCTCTTGTCCATACAATAATGCTGGATTTCTTTTCTTTACATTCTGATCTAAAATTTCAAGATAAACTTCTAAATCATAGTGTTGTCTAATTTGATTTTGCTTTGTACATTTTAGTATAGGGCATATAAAGGGAATATTCTGTGGGTCTTTCTATGTCATCTTTCCAAGGATTGCTGAATCCTTGTAAGTGATGCATGTACAAAGTCATATGTAGAGTTTTCACTAGTGCAGTTTTCCACAGTAAGATTGCCATTTGTAAAGGTGGTGGGACCTGCTAGTTTGTCTTTCAGAACCATGGACAGTTCTACACGTCCTGGGATGTAGGGAGCCAGATCCTCTTTCACCTGGATACCATGATACATCAGGGAGAAAAGTTTAAAAAGAACCTTAATAGTCATGAAACTGTGATTTTAAATATAGTCAGTAACCATAGTCTCAAATACTGCATTCTTCTTCCCCCTCTTCCTGCCCCTAATACTTTATTAGCCATGTATTTCATGGTCATTGCCATAGAAGGACCTGTTTGAGCAGAAGACACGACTTTAGGCCAGTCTTGGCATGACACTATAGTGGCTGAAGAGCAATAGATCTAGAACAAAACTGCCTGGAACTGAATTCTGGCCTCAAATCTTCATAATTGTGTTACCCTGGGCAAGTTACTTAAACTTTCTGAACCTAATTTTCTTGAGCAAGTTACCTATACTTTGTAGACTTCTTGACTTCCTTCCTTCCTTCCTTCCTTCCTTCCTTCCTTCCTTCCTTCCTTCCTTCCTTCCTTCCTTCCCTCCCTCCCTCCTTCCTTCCTTCTTTCTTTCTTTTGAGACAGAGTTTTGCTCTCTTTGCCCAGACTGGAGTGCAATGGTGCAATCTTAGCTCACCACAACCTCTGCCTCCCGGGTTCAAGTGTTTCTCCCGCCTCAGCCTCCCAAGTAGCTGGAATTACAGGCACCCGCCACCAAGCCCAGCTAATTTTGTATTTTTAGTAGAGACAGGATTTCACCATGTTAGCCAGGCTTGTCTCGAACTCTTGACCTCAGGTGATCCGCCCTCCTCGGCCTCCCAAAGTGCTGGGATTACAGGTGTGAGCCACAACACCCAGCCTAAACTTCATTTCTTTATTGTGGATAAGAACATTTTTTTCATATGGTTGTGATAAATACTGAACAAAATAACTTATGTAGGTACTTAAGCCAATGCCTGGAATACAGCAAGTGCCCTTTAAATGCAGCCACTATTATTATTATAGTTGTTGCTATCGTTATTTTCCATGTAATACATTGAGGACTTTCTTTTTCATAGGTTCCCATGAAGGCTCTCTAAGGACTTGCTGAATGAGCAAGATTTGTTAAGATCATGAAAATTCTCTAGGCATAGCCCTACTAAAATTTTTCAGAAGTTCCCAATATCTTATCCACAGATTTCCTTTGATGTCAGAATATTAGTCTTGGTTAGGGGCATCTTCTGGAGTTTGAGTGTAGTCTGGTGTTTTGGGAAAAGAATTATTTCAATAATAGTAAGGCTCAATAATGTTAAAACTGAGAGTTTCAAAATGTTTAATCTGAAGCAAGGGTAGAGCAGATACTTCCTCAATGGGAAGAGGAGAATGTACCAATTGCAAGACAGCTAAAGAAATATGTGTTTGCTTATTGTCAGTGTTAATAACAGTGTTTTTATTAGTCAAATGCCTCATGTGGTACATTCTTCTGAATAAATATCTTTAAAGGCCTCCGCAAAAAAGGACCTCTGGCC
>NT_167247.2:554836-671014 GCF_000001405.40 Homo sapiens | reverse complement strand
GGCCAAGGACTGATGTAGAGGCTTCTCTTACTGCCAAGTATATCAGTCCTAATCGTATAGCCGGTGACTGTGGGAACGACTATTGGATGTGCCTACAGTACTGGGTGACGTACTGTAAGCTAAACTTTAACATGACTCCATTCGTAATCTGGCTTCTGTATGCTCATTGTAACATTTGGGCCATGGTGATGCTTTGGCTCTTGGAGTATCGGTGTCAACTCAGACAACTGTACTTGAAATATTTGGGTATTCCCCCTTTCCCAGTGTGCAGTAATTTGCATAAATAATGTTAGCTCCCTCTCGGGAAAAACTATAGGTGTCTTTCCAGTAAATGCTTACCACAATGTTGAAGTTCACTTCTTTCTGGAGGACATGACTAAATGTTCAGGTAATAAGTTATGCACCTAAATATTAGCTTGCGTCTGTGAACTGAGCAGGAAATTAGGCCATTTTATTAGAGAGACCACCCTCAGTGTCCTGTTCCTCTACTCTTGCCTTCTTTTGATTGTAGTTTTTAAGCAGCAACCTCATCAGCTGTCCTGTAATTTCGTCTTTAGGGACACATGTTATATTAACCATCACCACAGCTTCCTGTAGGTCAAGACTACTTGGCTACCTTTTTGACTCACTGATGATTACAGCAATTGCCAACTACTAGCTTCCAGTGGTTCAATGCTACCATATATTTTTATTGCTGTAGGCCCCTTTTCTCCAGCAATTCAAACTCTGTGATTACTTCTGTAACCATTATCCCTGGTCTACAAAGAGTCACCACTGAATTTCTTAGTAATTCCAGAACGCCTCTGCCAGAGCATTCTGAATTGTGAATGGTGTGTCTCCTCTGAGTACTCTTGTGGAACATAATATTCTGGTGGCTTTTCTGACCTACATATAGTATATTCTTCCAATACCCCCACTTTCCTGAGTCTCTTTATTCCTTTCCATACCATCTGTCAGGGCAACTCAGTAATTTTAACTTTGATCATCATGGGCCAATGCCTTCCCTGTGCTTGTAAGAGCCACACTAGCAGCACATTTACTTAAGCCCCAGATTCCGTGTCTAAGAACTCAATGTCCCCTAGTTAATATATTCTCATTTATCCAGTTTAGTGTTCTAGTCCCTTGATCATGCACACTCAAAATTCAATCCCATGGTACTCCTGCTGGCACATTGTAACTACTATTTGCACTCCTGTCAGTTTAATCTCTTTTCTATTTTAACATCTCTAGCACAACCCTAATTAATTTATGGGGATTTAACTCTAATTGTTGGCCTGGCGGTCAAGAGAGACATCCACTATCTATAGTAATATGTAGTACAGTAGACATGTACTATCCACAGTAACAAAGAAGATAGAAAGGATATCTATTGAACCCAGATGTTGCTAAGGTGCTTACTAGGAAGAATGATTGTAGTAGTCAGGGTTCTTCTGAGAAACAGAGTCAACAGAATATTGATTGGATGATGGCCACCTACATTAGGGAGGATAATCTGCTTTACTCAATCTATCAATTCAAATGTTAGTCTCATCTAAAAACATCCTCACTGACACATCCAGAAAACTGCTCAATTAAATAAAGTGTGGACATCCTCAGTCAAGCTGACATAAAAACCATCAAAATAGTGAAAGTTCCAACAGATTCTTTTAGCTGACTATTACAAAATAGGGCAGACGTAAGATGAACTAAAAAACAAGGCATTCAATTTTCAATCAGTATTTAGAGGAAAACTAGATTCCAGGACTTCCTAGGATCAAAAAATTAAACTGTATATTAGTGCTAAATAGTCTAGATGGTAGAAGTTTCTCAAAGTAAGAAATGGCTTCAGGGCAAAGATCATATTCCAAGGTGCTGTTAGTGAAGTATGGTTTTTAGGTAAAGATCCCAAGGATGTGACTATAATACCCATTGTTGAAAGCTCAGAAAGATAATGGGGAAGCCTAGAATAGTTTCTAAAAATCTTAAGACAGGCCTCTTAAGCCCTCTATGTTAGACACAGAGGTCACTACGAGTCTTATGGACATGCCTTGTCAACATTTCCAGCTAGAGGCAAAAATGTTTCCAGAAATCTTATTTTAGCTTTATTGAGGTACAATTGACATAAAAAAATTATATGTCTTTAATGTATACATCGTGATGAGTTTGGGCATATGTACACATACTATCATCACCACAACCAGGGTAGTAAGCATATCCACCACCTCCAAAAATGTCCTCATGCTCTTTTGTGTTGTTTTTGTTTCTGTAAAAGCACTTATCATGAGATCTATAGTCTTGTTAACATATTTTAAAGTGCAAAATACTATTTTCTAGTTATAGGTAATATGTTGTACTGCAGATCTCTAGATCTTATTTATCTTGCATAACAGGAACTTTATACCATACCCACTGATAAACAATTCCCCATCTCCCCCTCTACATATTCCTTTACAATCACCATTCTATTTTGTATTTCTATGAGGTTGACTTAAGCATGGCCATGCAACATTTGTCCTTTTGAGACTGTCTTATTTTACTTATCATGATATCCTCTAGGTTTGTCCATATTGTAATAATTGGCAGGATCTCCTTCTTTTAAAGGTTAAATAATATTCATGTATATATTCATTTTCTTTATCCATTCATCTGCCAATGAATACTTGGGTTGTTTTTGTATTTTGTCTACTGTAAAAAATTTCAAAATAAACAGAGTGTTGCACATATTTCTTCAAGGCCCTGATTTCAATTCTCTTGGCTATACACCCAGAAGAGAAATTGCTGGATCAGATTGTAGATTTATTTTTAATTTTTAAAGGAATTTTCATACCATTTTGCATAGTGGCTGCAATTTCTATATTCAGTGTATAAGGGATCCAGTTTCTCCACATTCACACCAACACTTTTTTTTTTTATAATAACCATCCTAAAATATGTTAAGTGATATCTGACTATGGTTGCCTTTTTCTGATGGTTAGTGGTATTGAGTACGTTTTTATATACTTGTTGGCCATTTATATGTCTTCTTTAAAGAAATACCTATTCAATTATTTTGTCAATTTTAAGTTGTGTGTGTGTGTGTATATATTATTGAGTTGAGAAGATTATTATGTATTTTAGATATTAACCCCTATCAGATAGATGGTTTGAAATATTTTCTCCCGCTTCATAGGATGACTTTTCACTCTGTTGATCATTTCCTTTGTTGTGAAGAAGCTTTTTAGCTTTACATAGTCCTGCTTGTCTATTTTTTATTTTGTTGTTTCAAATCTAGAAAATCATTGTCAAGACCAACATCAAGAAGTTATCTCCTTATTCTTTTTCTTCTAGGAGTTTTACATTTAAATCTTTAATCCATTTTGAGTTGATTTTGTATATAGTATGAGATAGGGTCCAATTTCATTCTTCTCTATGTAGTTTATTCTACACCATCTATTGAAGGGACTATTCTTTCTCCATTGTGTGTTCTCAGCAATCTTGTCCAAGATCAGTTTACTATATATATGTGCATTTATTTCTGGACTCTCCATTCTGTTCTATTGGCTTGTATGTCTGTCTTTATCTCAGTACTATACTATTTTAATTAAATGGAAGGCATTCAAATTGAATATAAAATTAACATACAAAATCAATTGCATTCCTATACATTAACAATCTAGCTTTTCTGAGCTATCAGAAAAGGAAGAACCAAAACAATTTCATTTAAAATAGCATAAAAAAGAATAAAATGCTTAGCAATAAACTTAACCAAGGAAGTGAATGACTTGTACACTGGCAACTGTAAAAACATTGATGAAAGGAATTGAAGAAGACTCAAATAAATAGAAACATAACCTATGTTCAGGGCTTAGAAGAATTAAAATTGTAAAATGTCCACACTACCATAACTTGTCTATGAATTCAATGCAATCACTATCAAAATCCCAAAAGCATTTTTTACAGAAATGGAAAAAACTATTCAAGAAAGACCTCAAATAGCCCAAGTGATCTTCAGAAAGAATAGCAAAGCAGATGGTATCACTCTTCTTGACTTCCCAAGATGTTGCAAAGGTACAGTAAATAAAACAGTATTCTACTGGCATGAAGACAGACAGAGAGAAATCTCAAGGGTGTTGTCTCACAGTACACTAATTGTCAGCCCAAGTCAGAGAAAGGCCTGTCCTAAGGAGATGTATGAGTGTGGTACTTATCTAATTGACTAAACCCAAATAAGAATCCTAAGAACCTAAAATATTTTAAAAGGAATATTATTGGTGGGCCAGGCACAGTGACTCAGATCTGTAATCCCAGCACTTTGGGAGGCTCATGTGGGTGGATCACATGAAATCAGGGGTTTGAGGCCAGCCTGCGCAACACGGTGGAAACCCTGTCTCTATTAAAAGTACAAAATTTAGCCGGGCATGGTGGCACATGCCTGTAATCCCAACTACTTAGGAGGCTCAGTTGAGAGAATCACTTGAACCTGGGAGGTGGAGGTTGCAGTGAGCCGAGATTGCACCATCCCACTGTACTCCAGTCTGGGTGACAGAGTGAGATCCGTGTTAAAAAAAAAAAAAAAAAAAAAAAAAAAAGAAGAAGAAGAAGAGAGAGAATTTTATTGGTATCATCAGTTTCAATTGCATCATCTTAGACTCTAGAGGACGGAGTGAGAAAAATGTCCCCAAATGGGTTTCACAATTGCTATGTAACTGTTATGTGCCTCCCATTTTTTCTCTTTTGGAGTAACATTTTCTATTACTGTCATCTTATATCTACTTTATCATTATGTGCTGAGTGTGTGACAGGAAGATAACCTGACTTCTTCAAGTTCAAAGGTCTTCAGGTCAAAAGGAACCATTCTTGAGGAATCATACTAAATATGCCCCATTTGCACTTTGTCATGATTTGGATTTTAAAAACCTAGACTTTGAGCTGATGCTATAAAGGGATGAGATTTTAAGATTATTAGGAAGAGGAGTAAGTGTACCTTGCATATGGGAACAACATGAATTATTAGTGGTTAGATATGGGACTGTGGTAGATTAAGGATGTCCACACAATTTTTGACACTCTTTCCATTGAAGGTTACAGAAGCTCAGTTGGCCTGCGATTTCTTTGGCCAATAGAGTATGATAGAAGTTATGTTAATGCTGGTTCTTGGTTTTTGTCTTTGAGACAACTAACAATTTTTGTCTTGGTTTGCTGTCCCCCATGAAAAAGTCTGTCCCGAGGCTTCCCTGTTAAAGAAGCACATGACAGTCAACTGAGAAACTGGAGAGAGAGAAAGAGAGAGAGAGAGAGAGAGAGAGAGAGAGCAGATCCAGATATCACTGAGCATAGTCAACCCTTTCCTGCTGTGCCCTCCCCAATTTCTGACCCACAGAATCCTGGGATTTGATTAAATAAATTAAGCCATTTAGATTTAGGCTACTATTTGTTATGCAGCAGTAGATAACTAGAACCCATGTGTTTTCCTACAGTTCACAGCTTCCATGTAGATGGGATTATGCAATAAACTCTGAGCAACAGAAGTGATAGTCTGAGATAGTTCAGGTGGATAGTGTCTTCTCCACACAGGCATTCTCTCATCAACAAAACTGGAACTGAAGGACCAAAGAAGGTTGACTTGGAAGATAGAAGAAGTACCAGAGAGAGGTCAGATCGTTTGGGTTTGCAAAAGTGAAGGCAGAGGTTTTGAATAGTCAGCCCACCCGCTCAACTTAGCTTCCATAGTCTTGTCTATTTGTATCTCTAAATAGTTACAAATGTTGGCATACCACATCTTTTCAGAGCCAGAATCCATTTCTAAGTACTTAGAAACTAAGAAACATCATACCTATTCTTGTCTATTAGCTCCAGAAATACTTCCACAGTTATGATTTCATTGTTTTCACTTAGTATGAGTTTGGTACCAAAGGAAAAGAAAAATAAATTTTCATGAATTTTTTGTATTTCACCTGTATTTCATCATATTACATGCATTACAGTCTGTCAAAATAAGGACAGATAAAGGAAAACGAAACCAAAATAATAGAGTGTTTAAAGTCATCATCTTTCATGACCAAGGGTGGAGAGATACGAGTGGTTATAACACTCTAATGAGATACAAAGTGATTCTTGAGGTGTTTTTTGTTTGTTTGTTTGTTTTACCTAGCTCCACTTTTAATGGTATTTCATAGTAATCCTTGAAGTCTGGCCAGTTGACTTCTAAAACATCTCTGAAGATATAGGTACCAGAACTCTTAGCTGAACAATTGGTTGTTTTATCTCTTAATTAGTGGTTGCAATGTCATTCAATTTAATTACTTATTAGCCTCTCTGGACCAAGTAAAAAGCATTTTTCATTTGTATTATAAAATGTAAAAATAAAATTGTCAACTTTTAGTAAAAGTTTGTTCCCTTTTTCCACTCTTTCCTATTCTTTTTGTGTCATAAAAGAAATGAAACATTCTAGTGTGTTTCAGTAGCTCATTCTCTCTGCAGCATGTCCTCTGTGTGAGATTCATTTTCTTTAGTTAAACGGTGGGTCTTTTAGGGCACCTTTCCTTTATTTTGTGCAGGACTTTCATAAATCTAACACCTGTAGAGCTTTTTTTGATTAAAATAATAAACAACACAATTGATTAATTTTTCACATGAATAACTGTTGGTGTAGTAAGAGGAAAGTTTTAAGTATTTTATGCTGAAGTAGGGGAAAACACTTCATGTTGCCTGTGTGCCAGCTAACAATGACAAGAATTGCTGTAATCTTAGCTTTTCCTTTCTCCCAGTTGCCATCTTGCTTGGGCTTCAAATAGTCTGAAAACTTTCTATAACAATGGCAGAATTATGCAGACTTCCATGTTATGGAAAGTGTCTTTAGGATGTCATTTTTTACATAACCAGGCTGTAAAAGTAGAATATTTTCAGGGAAGCATCTACAAAATAAGTCATTGGCATTATTCATATTCAATGTAGTGTAAAATCTAAACACTTTTACATTGCAAGTGGTGATGAAATTTTTTATAACCTCTGGGGAGGGCAATTTGGCAGTATCTATCTGAATTACAATAACGATATCTCTTGACCTAACATTTCCATGTCTGGAAGTTTGTCCTACAAATAGACTTGCACATATATAGAATGACGTGTACACAAGATTATACACTGCAACATATGATTGGAAATAACATAGATGTCCAATGATAGGAGACTGATCTATCAAATATAATACATGAACAAAGTGGCATATACCATGCATGTTAAAAAAATAAAGAAGCTCTATGTTCTAATAGGGAAAGATCTCCAAGATACACATTGCCCTCAACATTGGTTTGCTCATATAACATGTATTGTTCATTGCCATTCTTTTTTAAAGAAAATATTTGTATTTGACTGTGTAGCATAAAGGATCTCTGTGAGGACAGATAACAACTGATTAAATTGATTGTATATGAAGAGTAAGTCAGTGACGGAGGGCAGAGATGGGGAGAAACATTTGACATCTTTCTATGTCTTTTGCATTTTGAATCACCATTAAAAGAACAAAAACCAACCGAACTGAAAAGAAATCATGACATACCTCTTTAAAATTTATTTAAATAATATGCAAGTTAGCATTTACTTTTCCAATTGAATAAACATAGCCCTACATGACAATCCTTAAAATAAAAAAGCATAATAATTTTATTGATCAGACTAAAATGTGTTAAACTAAAAGGATCTCACAGACAAACAGTCCTAAATATCATCTATCTATACAATACATGGGCAATATAGGCAAAATTCTACATGCAATTGCATACAAGTACATGTTAGAATACATAATAAGTCAATTACATCAACTGATATTCCAAAAAATTTTCAGCATTAGGGTTCCATGGCTAGTGTCTTGCATTTTCAAGTATTCCTCATATTACTTAGAAATGTATTGTTTACTACAACTAGATTGGACTTTTTTTTCTTTTATCCAGTTGCCTCTATTTTACACTTATAAACCATCTGAGAAGCAGTAAAATTACACATCTCTACTTTTTCATTGCTGGTTATTTATGCCTCAGTAGAGTTCTCTGGTTTATTCAAATCAAAGCCTTCTGATCACTCTACCCAAGGCCCCCTTCACTTCCTTGTTCCTCAAAGTATAGATCAGTGGGTTTAGTACAGGAGTGACCACAGTGTACATGATGGCAACAATCCGGTCCTGGTCCATGAAGCTCTCTAACGCAGGATGGATATAGGTGAAAAGAACAGGTGCATAGAAAAGAATAACTACCATGAAGTGGGAGGCACAAGTGGACAGTGCTTTACAGAGCATGCTACAAGAACGGGTCTTGAAGAAGAGATAAGTGATAATGTAGAAATAGGAGAGAAGTGTCAGAAAGAAGGGGCCCATGGCAATTGTCCCCGTGACAGTACTGAGTAGCCACTGATTAAGCTCAGTGTTCCCACAGGCCAGCTTTAGCAATGGCTTAATATCACAGAGAAAATGATGGATACGGTTGGAACCACAGAAGTTCAAGCGAGAAGTCATTACGGAGTGCAGCAGGGCATGGAAAAAACCAATGACCCAGATTGTGATGGCCATCTGGGTACAGAGCTGAGGGTTCATGATGACAGTGTAGCGAAGTGGCTTGCAGATAGCCACAGAGAGGTCAAATGCCATCACGGCGAACAACATGGACTCCGTGCTGCCCAGGAAGTGGAAGAAATGAAGCTGGCTTATGCATCCCAAGAAAGAAATTGCTTTGTGTGTAGAGAGAAAGTTCTGCAGCATTTTTGGCAGTGTCACCGTAGAGTAACAGATATCCAGGTAGGACAGGTTTCCCAGGAAGAAATACATAAGGGAATGGAGTCTAGGATCGGAGATGACAATCATCAGAACGGCTCCATTCCCAGTCACACTGATGAAGTAGATGGTGAGGAAAACCACGAAGAGAAAAGGCTGCAGTTCTTGAATGTCTGTCACTCCCAAGAGGAGAAATTCGGTGACTGAGGTTGTATTCAGCATCACTTCAGACAAAAGACAAAATAATCTATGGAACACTAATCGCAATCAGAATCCTTCCGGCTCAGAATTTTCTCACCAAGCCAAAGATACTTGGAAGGAGAGTACTGTTGTACTTCTTCCAAACCTCAGAAGTTGTATAGAAGCTTAGCTGTTGGTCTCTTCAATATTAAGGATTCATGCATATTATGGACTATGACTTAACCACTTTTTAAAATTAAGTTTATCATTAACGTATTTCTTTCTTCTGGGGATTTAGAACATGTTGCTAACTTACATCTTCTCTGGTTGAGAAGAATACATCCGTATTCTGTTACAACTTTCCTTTCCTATCCCAAGTCAGCGTTAATAGGGGGCAGTTTTTAAGTGCACCACCACTTGGATATCTCTTGACCCAGGAAAATGGCTCCTGAAATTTTTTGACTTAAGAGAGGAAGATAAAAATGAACTCATTATAATCACAAAGTCTTTAAAGAGATATAAAAACCTCTTTAAAATAGTAGTAATTATTTTGTTCTCATCTTAGAACGTAGATGAGGCTGGAGATGTTCTCTTACTGATCTCTTTCTAACCCACATCTCTGGCAATGTCATGGAGCTCTACTGGGAAAGGAAAAAATAATACATCAATCAAATATTAGCCTGAGGTATATTTGAAGTTTTATCACTGCTATATCAGATAATGTGCTTAGTTTCTTCTACCTAAGCCTTTAAATTTTTTCAAAGTAAATCCCAAATTACTTACTTGATGACAAATGTTATTGTTCCTTTAGTTTCCAGTTGCACTGAGACTTTTTCCTTTTTCACACCCCTGAATCTCTGAATAAGAAAAACTCTTCCAATAGACTCAACAATTCTTCCTTCATTTTACCCAATAGTGTCTTCTTCTAAAGTATCTAAGAATTTAGACCACTGAAAGTTCTGTCTTCTCTTGTGATGCATTTTCTTAAGTCTTATTTTTATTTTGCCTGAAATAAGCTCACTTTTTAGATGTGAAGAAACATTGTATCCAAGTGAATTTTCTCTTTTCTTCTAGTTTCATCAATGTGACACTGACAGTCAGGTTCTCCTCCATCAACCCAGAGGTCTGTTGGCTTCATACCAGTTCTCTCCAAAGTTGCCACACATTTCTAGCCTTTTTCATTTGTAAAATGTGTTTTCTCTATTTGCCCCTTCTTTCCATCAGATAAAATTTCCATTTTCTATGAAAGAAATGTATTCATTTTTCTTTCTTTTGCAGAATTGAAATAATAGAATTTTTTCAGTAACTGTTAAAACACATGAGGGATTATAAGTAAGATAATTATAATGAGGTTTAATATTTGACTAAATTTATACTGTTTACTGAAAGGCAGAAATATATTTTGAAGGTTTTTTCTAACATTATTTGCAAAGTACTTGGGATTATCTTCTATAGGTGCACTGACAAAAGCAGACATAATTTTGTGAAATAGCTTCCTGTTTGTTCCTTTCTTGTACAAATGTAGTGGATTAACTTTTGCATATTAGGAGAAAAGAAGCAAGAATGTGTGGGAAATCCATAGAAATGGCAGGCACTTAGAAAAGAATAAGAACCAATAGGAAATCAGAAGAAAGATGCAGACATTAGAGTGTTTCCTATAAATGGGGAATAATTCGAGGTTGAAAAATTGCTGATGAGAGAAGAAAAGGATTTGGTGTGACTAAAGTTAAAAAAAATAATGAACTAGGAAACATCTCTAGGGAGCCCATAGGATATTTGGCTTTACAGCTAGAGGAAATTTTGAGAGATTATCTAACCTTTACCACACCTCCATGAAGGACTGCCTCCAAACAATTTAAAGTAGCTTTATTTGATAGCCATGTATGTTGCATATTTTTCAAAACTTTTACCATGTCTTTTAAAAGTACAAATGATAGATAAAATATTATTTTTGGTTCTCTGACCCATAAAATAAAATTGTATCAAAAATCTATTTGGTAAAAAGAAAATTTAAAAAATAATAAATAATAAAACAACATTTTCCTAACGTTTAAAGAATGTTGTTTAGCCAACTTCTCTGTACGAAAATATTTCTTTCACTGCAATTTCAATATTTAGGGATTTCAGATTTGCTTTAGCGAATATCTAGAGAGCCAGGCATGTTGAATAGAGAAGGAGATATGGCAATAAAAGTGCGGAAAACAAAATGCTTTCATAATCTACAACTACAATGAAGACTCCATCATAAAAATAGGAAACCAGCTCTAAATCCTGGGCATCTAACTTTAATACTCGCAAGCAGTCAGGTCACTCATTAACAGATAAAAAATACGAGCAGCTTCCCAACCTGTCTCCTATTCTATTCTCTCACCCGGATTGAGAGTTCAGAATCACAGGTAAAAGAGCTTTTCAGATTTATACTCCCAGTGATTATAAATAGAAAAATATTTGAAGTGATGGTTGATGTTGGGATTGCAGCATAAATTATCTTCAAAAATCTTTTCCTCTCTGAAAATCTGCCTGCCTTCCAATGAGCTGCAGATCTCTAGACATAAAAACCTGAGAGAAACTGTCCCCTGGGTGCTGAGAAGGATTGTCGTGAGAATAAACAGGAGGTCTCTCTGCACCTGCAGCATAAGGGGATAGCCATATGGAATTTCTCTGTAGAATTCCACTTTTCTGTTGTTGTCGTTCTTCTTATCTTTTTTTCTTAATATGTTTGTTCCTTGGTTTCATAACCATGGACAAGACAGTTTTCAATAGCTTAATATATTTGCTGGATTTTTTCTTTAAAATAGTAACCCAATATTTTATTTGACCTTTCACAATACTGTTTTTTAAAATATTTATTTGTTTATTTAAAATACTTTTTCCTAGTCAAATTTCCTTTCATTTCCTATGGTAGAGGTTCAGATTCACTTTCTCTTCTTGAGGGCTCCCTTGGAAAATATTTTGGTATATAAAGTGAAAGAAAATTGGCAATAAAAATTAATAAATATGGTCACCCACATTCCATTGATCAGTACAGAAAGATGATTATCTTTAATATTCTACTGTGGTTCTATGAAAACCAAAGAAAGAGACATAAAGAGAAATAGTATTACTTTTGTACCTTCTACATCTTACTCTTCACTGTTGCTAATAATACTAAATTATTTTAAATAATTAATTTTGGGGTCCAAAAGCTCACATTTTTCTCTGTTTGGGATAAGGATTTTGGTCTTACCAATGTGTAGCATTACTTTTTGCTATTTTTTAGGTAAGAAAATTCTGTCTGAATTACACCAGGGTATCTATGCGTGACCTTCCATCAATCCAAGGATTCTACTAACAGTTGTAACTATGATGTATTTTTTCCATCTTTCTATTGAGTTTCCATTTTTGTTGCTTGGCAAAAGTTTATTATATATATTTATCACAATAATATCTTATTTTAATTTTTTAATTTTGTTTTTTTTTTTAAATCTTTAATTTTTTTTCTTGTTTTGAGTCAGAGTCTTGCTCTGTCATCCAGGCTGGAGTGCAGTGATGCAATCATAACTCACTGCAGCCTCTAATTCCTGGTCTCAAGCAATCCACCAATATCATCCCCCCAAAATTTTGGGATTATAGGTATGAGCCATTCCACATACAAATAATTCCTTATTTTATATACTGCTAATATATTATAAATAAATAACATTTATTGCATGCTCATTATGTATAAGTTATTGTTCTGAGTTCTTCACATATATTAGCTCATTTAATTCTCACAAAAACCCAATGTAAAAGTATTAAAATTATTCCTTTACTACAAGAAAACCAAGGCTCAAAGGATTTAAGTAAAGTTTCCTTTTCCTTGCAATGGATTGTGAAACTAGGATTCAAAATAAGGCTCTTTAGTTTTAGGGATCACTGCAATGTAATTTCCATTTTTTCAAAATGTCCCCCACTTCAATTTTATCATTTTTTATCTTGCATTGAAACTTAAAGATTATGTAACTGGTTCTGTTAATTAGATTTAGAGTTTTATATTTGTCATTTAGGACTCTAGTCTTCTAGAGGTTATATTTACATATCCTGTGAGATAATCAGCTAGTCTTGGTTCTGGTTGTCTCTATGTAGACCGACTAACCATTCCTTCTTCATCGATTTGTGAGGCCATCTTTATACTATTCCAAGTTCCCCTCAATACATGGTTTGTTTCTCCACTTACTATTTTTTCCATTGAATAAGCTGTAATTTAAGTAATATGATGTTATTGTAGGTCTTAATATCTCATAAGTTAGGAAAAATCATTACTTCTTTTTTTTCCCCAAAATACCTCCAAGTTGGCTGAGTGCAGTGGCTCACGCCTGTAATCCCGGCACTTTGGGAGGCCGAGGCAGGTGGATCACTTGAGGTCAGGAGTTCCAGACCAGCCTGGCCAGCATGGTGAAACTCCATCTCTACTAAAAATACATAAATTAGCTGGGCATGGGGGTGTACGCCTGTAATCCCAGCTACTCAGGAGGCTGAGGCAGGAGAATTGCTTGAACCTGGGAGGCAGAGATTGCCACTGTATTCCAGCCTGGGTGACAGCGTGAGACGCCATAAAACAAAACAAAACAAAACAAAACAAAACAAAACAAAACAAAACACCCTCAAAGTCTTTTGACAGCTTTTTTTCCCAAGTAATTTCAATGTTATAGAAAGTTTGCTTACGGGGAAAGGCCTAGGGCCAACTCAAAACAGGCCCCTTGAATGGAGCTGGAGAGGCTCCAACATGGCTGACTTGATACATCTGGTACTTGGCCCTTCCATGTAAAGTAACCAAAATAACCAGTCAATAATCACACGTTGAATAGATCATCTAAGAGAGAACACCGAAAGTCAGCAGAGAAGTGACCAGGAAGCACCAAAAGCAAAGGAGAAGGAAATGAGACCGCCTGTTCAACCAAGATCGGATATGAGTCTCGAGCGGCTCTCCAATGTGGGAAAAGGGAAAGGGGGAGACTCCCAGCAGCCCACATTTCACCACAGATACCTACAATTCTAGCCACAGGAGATCCCCTCAACCATCGTAGCCCCTGAGACTAACATAGGGAGCTGCCTGGAGACCACGTGAAGGCGCTACCCAAGAAAGAACCTCACACTGGGTCCCACGAACCCTAAGTCCTAACTAACTGCAGCACGGCACCATTTTGACAGCACAGATCCCAACGCACTGCATCTTACTCTGCTTCTGAGACCGAGGCAAGAGCCCTAGGGAGTAATCCCACCTCCCGTTACCCCGACCAGAGGGACAACGACACATTTTTACTTGCCCTGAGGACAAATTTCACTGCCTGCAACTGCTGCCATGATGAACTACTGTGGGGCAGAGGCATGAGCAAAGCCCATGCCTCCCCAGTTTCTTGCCTATGGTTGTTCCCAGGAAAAGCAACCCAGTCCTCCCCAGTCCATGACCACAAAACAGCCACTACCACTCCTATCTGAGCATTCCATCTGTGGCCTGGGGATCCCCCTGCCCCTGCCTACCATAGCCAGTGCCTCATACACCACCAAGGAGCCCATGGGAAGGTCTACTCAGCCTGGCTTCACCCACCCACAGAATCTGAGCACACCGTACAGGGGCCCGAGGGTCACTTAGCCCAGTCCATCACTGGTAGCTCCTCAGCACCCCTCCTGGGATCTGAGGTCAGCCCCACTCAACCTTCCCCTGGCACCACAGCTGACATCCACACTCATGTGCCTCCTGTGGATCTGGGAACTGACCTGCCCAACCTGTCACAGCCATTGCCAATATCAGCATGGACTACACGGGTCCCAGAGGGCTGTCCCACCACTGCTACTGCCATCACCCACACCACATCCACTGCCAAAGGGCTCAAGAATTCAACTTCATACCTGAACTACTGATGCCATTCCCAGAAGCCAAGCAAGCCACTTGGAAGCACAAGAACTGTCTTGCCTAAACCCGCTAACATTGGTGCCAGTGTATGCTGCCCTGGGGCCCAAGGACACACATGCTCATCCCACTGATTCTACCAATGGAAGCCGAAGACTGGCCCAACTGGCATCTCAGTTCTTAGCAAGACTTCAGCACAGCCTCCACTAACAACCATATCCTAAGCCACCAAAGAAATCACAGACACCACTGACACTGTTTACAGATGAAGAAATCATACAGAGACTGCACTATTGTACACACCCAGAATCAAAACCAGAGAACCCTACCCAAACTACACCTTAGATACATCTTCTGGAAAAAGTCCTCCCCATGAGAGCAAATTCAAAAAATTTAAAAAAGTAACTGTTATACTAGATATGCAGATATCAACATAAGGACACAATAATTCTCCAGCAACAGATCCCAATAAAAAAGAAATGTCAACAATCCCAGGCAGAGTATTCAAAATTTTGATACTAAAACAGCTCAGTGAGATACCAGACAGTATTTAAAAATTATACAAAGAAATCAGGAAAACAATTTAGGTTATGAATAAGAACTGTACCAAAGATACAGATATCAGGAAAAAAAACCCCACCTAGTTCTCTATCCCTTTTTTCTATCTTTGATTCCACTCACAAATATGCTTGCTTTTAATCATTCTCTAGGATGTTTAGTTTTTGTTTTATTTATTTTGCATTTTATTCCTCTAAGGAGCTTTCATGGCCATATTGGCAGCATAACTCTCCATTGTATGGGACTTTGAAGGGGAATAGGCCAATTTGTTGAAAACTAAATTGTCTAAGACCCAGTTTCCTAAGAGCCATTTCAGTGAGTCTCATCCTACAACTAATCTGTGTGTTAACATGACTTGTCTTTGACACTTACCCTAAAGTAACAGCGATAGTTGAAATTAAAACTTTGGAGATATTTCTAGTAAATCATAAAATTGATTTTATTGGTTGTTCATGAATTAACATAGGGCTCAGGAAATTTACCATTTCTTTATTCACAGTAAGAAAGAACATTGATCATAATAGTACAAATAATGACTTTAGTTAGATGTTTTTAATTATTTCAATGGGCTCCATACATAAAGTTGTCTCTTCCAAGAATCTATATAAACACTAATCCCTAAAAGTATGTTAACCAAATTTATCTCCACTGTTTAGTCTTCCCTGTTTGATCATAATTTGCTTAAATCTTTCCATTTCAATATCTGTAGACCTCAGTTTATAATTAATCATTTTTAGTTTTCATTATATTGTTCTAAGTGATATTACTTTTCAGATTCATTAGATGTTAGATTTCTCAAGGATAGGAGCTGTGTCTTCTCTTTCTTTTATATTATCATCACTCTTTTTTTCTTATGACTAATGAAGGGCTCTGCCAAAAATTTATTATTATTACTTAAATCAATGTAGTGATCTCATAAGCACATCAAAGAAGGAATAAACTGATACACAGGGGAAGAGAAATATAAAGAGAATAAGTCCTTGGAGAGAAAATCCCAAAGTGTTAATGCTCAAGATGCTACTGGGAAGGTTTACTGAGAAGATTTAGCCTGTTCATTTTCTGTCCATAATAAGACATGAGATTTGCTTAGATTCCATGTAAGTTGTTTTCAATAAGGGTGTTTATAATAGGTTTTGAGCAGTCAGAACTTTCTCTGATAACTTTATTCAAGGACACAATAAATACATCTGATCTATGATATTTGGATAACTCTTTTGACACAAAAATTATATTTATACTAAGATACGTGCAAAGGAATGTGCAGAGCAAATTGGCTTAGACTAAATAGAAAAATGATATTATGATAGTAGAGAAAAACTCTTGATGAAAAGAGGTTGAGATCACTGGAATGAGTGGGTTAGAGTGACGGAGGAACCTCTTTGAATATAGGCTATGAAGATTACAGGATGCAACAGGTGGGCTCATTACATAAAACATTTATGAGGGAAGCTTCAAATTTCCTGATCTATTTACTTATGCTTTTTTTGGACTTTTTTTGGTTTCAGGGCAGCAGACTCTATGATCAAGTATAGATGTATGTTATAGTTAAGTGTCTGAGTGTGTACGACTGTTTAATGGAGATAGTGGTAGTGTGTGTATATTTGTGTTACAAAGAGACGAAATAAAGGGAAAAGGAAGTGAGGGAGAAGTAAAAAAAAATAGGTGAGTAACCTTTTAGTATCTATCACAATCAGTTTTCATAAAAGTAGCAGATTCCAATTCGTGTTAGATAATATATTAGATTGTATTTAATGTTAGATAATTATATAACTTTGCAGTAGTATTATTTTTAGTAGAAGAGGGATGGTGTTAATTATTTAGGAAAAAATAATTTCGAAACTGTTGTATAAAGTATTTACTTATGTAGTTTCACAAGCGTACATCCCAAACCCTTAATTATATGCATCCGTTACAATGTCCTTCAGCTATGTTTATGATTCCTGAAATTAATTCTCTTCTCTCCACTATCAATAATTTCACTTTGAACATTTATTCTGTATCTATACCCACGGAATACAGCTCCTAGGTTTTTGTGTCAATTCACCAATCTTATAATTAAATATTCAATACTACTTACTGATGCTAATTAATCAATAAGAATTATTAATGCCATTGAGAGCAGGTCATGCCAAAAATGAATTGTGGAAAAACCTGTACCTATTGGCTAAAAACCATTACTTTTTCTACAAATATACATGTTTATGTTCTGTGTTGCCATGTCCTTTGATAAAAATGGAGGAATCTTCATTTTCTGATTTGTTAATGTAATTGTTATTGGTGTTGTTTATAAAAGAAATTTTGGTAGAAGAGTGAGGGTAAAATTTTAATTGGTATAGGTGTAGGAGGGAATGGAAAGAGGATTGCAAACAGCTGGTATAGGCAAATGTTTACAGAATTTAATTGTAAAGGGGAACACAGAAATGGAATGGAGGTAGAAAGGTAGTACAGGAGAGGAAAATGTTCATGATTTAAGACAGAGATGAGAAAATAACTGGAGCAGTGTTCTTAGAAGATGAGAGAGAATGGGTTCTTGGACACAGGTGGAAGAGGTGGTCTTCATCAGGAGTATCAATTATGAAACCATTAGAAACAGAGTGAATGCACAGTATATGAACACAGTTACAAAACTGTGGGTAGATACTAGGATGAAACTTGGAGATACTCTCTTCTGACTGCCTTTACTTTTCCAAAATAAAAGAAACAATGTCACTCTCCGAGAGAGAGGATGAGAGAGAAGAGTTAGAGGTATGGCCTGTAAAGAGAAAGGGAAATATGTAATTGATTGGCATCTCTAAGATTTCAGGGGTTTTTTTTATTGCTCATGATCCTTGTGGTCATGCGTTGGTGTCTGTGCATCTGAAGAAATAGGCATATATTCCAGTCTTTACAGACTGTTTCGGCAGGGAACGCCCTTCATGCATCAGCCTATCCAGAGATTCTGGGCAGGTCATATGGCGTGGTCTGGAAGTAGGTTTGTTCCTGGAGTCCTGGGCAGGATGGCTTAGTGCTTGGGTCATCAGGTGGGTGGGCCTGGTGGCTGAGTCAATGGCATTCCCAAGATTTCAATGCAGTTGAGTATTAATGAATTTAGATCTAGGCAAGTGAGCACAGGTGCATTTTCCTCCAATCGTGTTCAGCTGCAAAGGTTTAGATGTGGAGTAAGTAGAGAGTGGTTTGACTTTTTCCAGGTAAAGACATGAAGCACAAATTGGTCAAGGGATGTAAGGATATATGCTACTATAAAGTGACTATAAATATGCATATGGAACTTAAGATGAGTAAGGAGGAGTGTGAGTACATGAGAGTAGTAAAGAACATGAAATAGAATAACTATAATTTAGGGGATAAAGATTATAGGATTTGTGGTATTGGAGAGAGTAAATTATGAATTTACCTGGTGGTAGTTGGAGTCTAGGATGCTTATTACTGAGATCATGAAGGGTTGAAGTTATTAATGACTAGTGAGTAATGAGTAATAAATCTAGAGTTTAATGATAGGAGAAAGTAGCTGAAGAAGGATAATAATGATTATCAGACAAATGGAAGTACAGAAACCTATAGAAGGGTATCGTAATAGGGTCTAACTTAATTTGAGATAGGCTGAAACCCAAAGGATAAATAGATATTTTCTTACATTAAAGGACGGGAGGCCAGGCACAGTGGCTTACGCCTGTAATCCCGGCACTTTGGGAGGCCGAGGAGGGCAGATCACAAGGTCAGGAGATCGAGACCATCCTGGCTAACATGGTGAAACCCCGTCTCTACTAAAAACACAAAAAATTAGCCGGGCGTGGTGGTGGGCGCCTGTAGTCCCAGCTACTCAGGAGGCTGAGGCAGGAGAATGGCGTGAACCGGGAAGGCGGAGCTTGCAGTGAGCCAAGATCGCACCACTGCACTCCAGCCTGGGCGATAGAGCGAGACTCTGTCTCAAAAAAAAAAAAAAAAAAAAGGGACAGGGGAAGTAAAGAGTGATCCAGGGAGGACAAGCATGAATGAAGTCCCTGTCAAGGGACACCTTGATATATTTGAGGAATTGGAAGATATCCAGTAGGATCACATCCAAGTAATATAAAAGGTGAGACTGAAGAGATAAGCCACAGACATTCATGGAGGGTTTGTAAGCTTGTCCAGTTGGAAGGTACTGAAATGTTTCACATAGAAATTTATACTGTAACGCAGGCCTTTAAACAATCATTCTGGTTACACTATGAAGATGGCTTGAGAGTAGGGGAAGAAAAGAACTGTAGGGCTGCTTTGAAGTAGTTAAGTTTAAAGGCAATCATGACTTGGGCCAGGATTGCGGCAGTGTGGATAAAGAGACGTGAATTTGAGGGATGTTTCAGAGACTTGATGACTGACTTAAAGAGAGTGGATTGAAGCGAAGGAGAAATCAATGTGGTTCTCACATTTCTGGTTTGAACAACTAGATGGTTTTTATTCTGTTCACTACGTTGAAACACTGTGAGAGCATGCTTGGAAAGAGGATGCGTTCTGTTTGACGTGTTGATTTTTGTAATTCAGTAAAGAATTCAACCATCCCTCCATTAAAGGACATTTGGGCTACTTCCAGTTTTGGGTTGTTATGAATAAAGATTCTATGAATATATGAATACAAGCTTTTGTGTGAATTCAAGTGGAGAGTCAAATATGAAATTAGGTAAGTCTAGAACTCAGAGTGGGGGTTAGACAAGAGATCTCCCTCTTAGAAGCTATATAGCCAGAATAAATTTTATACTTGGAAGACATGTAGTTATGATATCAAAGTCACTAGTTCAAAGTCACTTAAAGATATTACTATTTGTCTTTCTTTCAATATTATGTTCATTTTTTCTTGGAATTTATTTCATATTTACTAATTATTATATTAGAATAACAGTCATTTGTAAGAGTACATGGATAGCCAGAATAAGTGACCAATTTTATTCTATAGATTATTTTTCTACACCATTGTTCTGTTTTTCTACATGGTATAGGAACTGTAAGAATATGAAGAATAAGATACTTTCAGTTTTTTTCACCTCTAATAATCTGATATTCCAATGAGTAGACAGACATGCAAAATTCTACCTATAAGAATAAATGGTGGCCAGGCATGGTGGCTTACACCTGTGATCCTAACACTTTGGGAGGCCGAGGTGGGCAGATCACTTGAGATCAGGCACTAGAAACCAGGCTGGCCAACGTGGTAAAACCTTGTCTCTACTAAAATACAAAAATTAGCACAGTGTGGTGATGCGTACCTGTAATCCCAGCTATCTGGGAGGTTGAAGCCTGAGAATTGCTTGAACCCAGGAGACAGAGGTTGCAGTGAGCCAAGATTGCATGACTGTACTCCAGCCTAGGTGACAGAGCAAGACAGTCTTGAAAAAAAAAAAAGAATAAATGGAATAGTGCCTTTGATTTGATAAAACAGAGAAGTGCGTATGACAAGTATAATCTGTAAAACAGATGCCGAAGTAACGACTTTCTAGTCCAAAGTAAGTCACAGTCTCCACTTTGCCATCTATAAAACAGACTGTACTTGTCATATACACTGCCATTTATACATAATATTACTGGGCCTAAATATTTTAGATGCTCAGTTCACTGCTCTTTTTCACAACTATATATTTGTGCATAGTATTGCCGTGCTTATTTTTAAAGAAAATAATTTCGTTTTTTGAGTACATAATATATGAACATGGTACAAAATTCAAAATATACTAAAAAGAGTATTTCTTCTGCCTTTGTTTCCTTGACAGCCAGTTTCTCTTCCTAGAGACTACAACAGTTATCAGTTTCTTTTATGTCCATTCAGAAGTACATGTGCGTATAGAAAAAAATGTTAAACAGAAGTTTTAGCATACTACTCACATTGTGCTGCATCTTGATTATATCATTTAACAAGTCACCTTGGCATTCATAACATATATAATTTATATGTATATAGGTACATATGTAAAAATTTGCATATATATGATTTGTGCACCTTTCCGTATCTATCCACCTGGCTATTTTCTTTGTGTGTGTATATATATGTACATATATATATTTTAAAGCTGCATATTATTCTCTCTCATAGGTGTAATAATTCACCTCGTCCCCTACTTTGGCTCTTAGGGTTCTGTCTAATTTTTGCTTTTAAAATACTCAAATAAATATTATGGTATATAATAATGATTTCCACACATTGAATAATATCTACAGGTAAATTATAACACAAAGTATGTGATTCACAATTTTCAACTTTGAGAGCTATTGAAAAAATTACCCAGCATATAACTAGTACAAATTATCATCAGAAATTCCTATTTAGCCATTCTCAAACACATATAATTTATTAAGTATTTTGATCTTTGTACAAATATGATTTGCCATTTAATTAAAATCTTATGTATGATTACAATATGCAGTTGTAAGAAAAAATACACAAAGATGCTGTTTTCCCTTTACATGGTTCCTCCCCATGGTAACAAATTGCAGCACAGTTTCACAATCAGGATATTGATGCTGATACAACCCATGAATCTTAATGATAGCCCCAGTTTTATTTGTATTCATTTGTTTTGTGTATCTGAGTTTAATTCTACACAGTTTTATCTCATGTTCCTGTATCTGCCATCATAGTCAAAATACAGAATAGTTCCTCCACCACAAGGATCTTTCTTGGTATCCTTTCATAACCACACACACCTCTCTTCTGCTCCTTCTCCAACTTCATTCTCCAACTGTAACTACCAATCTTTTCCCCATTTCTAAAATATTATTTCAAAAATGTTATATAAATGGAATCATACAGTATATAATTTTTTGGATTTCACTTTTTAAAAAATTAAGCGTAATTTCCTGGAGAGTTTACCAAATTGTTGTTTTCTTTTTATTGCTAAGTAGCATTCCATGGTATGGATATACCACAGTTTGTGTAAGCATTTCTCCATTGCAGGACATTTGGGGTATTTCCAGTTTTTGGCTATTACAAATAGTCTATGAACATTCACATACAAGTTTTTGTGTGAACATGTTTTTATTGTACTGACATAAATTCCAAAGCGTGCAATTGTTGGGTCATATAGTAAGTGTATGTTTAATTTTGTAAGAAACGACTATACTCTCTCCAGCGCAGTTGTACCATTTTATATCCTGACCAGTTTTATATTCATGATCCAGTCTTTCTGTATCCTCCCTAGCATTTGGTGTTGTCACTATTTTTATTTTATCTATTTTGATAGATGTGTTGTAGCATTTTACTGGTTTTAATTTGCATTGTGCTGATGAAAATGATTTTGAACACCTTTTCCTGTGTTAATTTGCCATTTATATATCATTTTCTGTTTATGTTTGTATGTCTTTTCCTAGTTTTTGCCCATGTTTTTGGACTT
Source organism: Homo sapiens (assembly GCF_000001405.40). Lineage (NCBI taxonomy): Eukaryota > Metazoa > Chordata > Mammalia > Primates > Hominidae > Homo > Homo sapiens. The sequence continues at coordinate 648,330 of NT_167247.2, read as the reverse complement.
TTAAGAATACTATTAAGTTTTGAGAGTTCTCTCAGATATGTGATTTGAAACAGTATTTCTTTTTTTCAGTCTTCAGCTTGTCTTTCCATTTTCTTAATAGAGTCTTTTGGCAGAGCTTTTTTTTTTTTCTGGTTAGGTCAAACTAAAATTTTTCCTTTAATGTGTCATGCTTTTGGTGGAAAATCTAAGGACTCCTTGCCTAGCTCTAGACCCTGAATACTGTTTTCTATTTTTTCTAGAAGATATGTAGCTTTACATTTTACATATAAGTCCATGATCTATTTTGTGTTAATTTTTGTATATGAGGTGAAATTTGAATTTAGTTTGCTTTTTCTTTTCTATTATGGATGTCCAATTATTTCAGAACTAGTTGTTGAAAAGACAGTCTTGCTTCCATTGAGTTACTCTGCACATTCATAAAAAATCAGTTGGACATATTTGTGTGGGCTGATTTATGGGTTCTCTATTCTGTTCCATTGATCTGTTTCACTATCACTTGTGTTAATACCATACAAAACCTGATAACTATAGTTAAATAATAAGCTTTAACATTGAGTAATTTGATTTTTCCACTTTTATTCTTCTTTTTCCAAATTGTGTTAGCTATTCAATTTCCTTTGCCTTTACATACACATTTTAGAATAATCCTATCTATGTCTACTAAGAAATATTTCTGGGATTTTGATAAGAATTGTGTTAAACCTGTATATCAATTTGGAGAGGATTGACATCTTTACTATGTTAAATCTTACAATCCATGAATATAATATGTCTCTAACTTTATGTAAATCTTTTGTTATTTCTTTCATCTGTGCTTGAAGTTTTTAGCATACAACTCCTAAACATTTTTTTTAGATTTACAGCCAGATATTTCCATATTTTGAGAGATTATAAATTAAATTGTGTTTTAATTTTGGTTTTCACATATTCATAGTTTATTAAAAATATTTAATTTTTTGTGTTAATCTTGTATCCTGTCACTTTGCTGAACTCATGTATTAGCTATAGGAATTTTTATGTGGAATCCAGGGAGTTTTCTACATAGATAATGACATCTGAAAATAAGTACATTTGTATTTATTACTTTTCAATATATGTGTCATTTATTTCTTTTTCTTGCCTACTACAAGTGGTGAGAGCAGACATCCACGCTTTATTCCTAATCTTAGAAGGAAAGCATTTACCTGGAAGATTTTTATGGATGATCTTTATTGAGTTGACACAATTTCTCTCTATTCCTAGCTTGCTGAGAGTTTTTATCATAAATGGGTGTTGGATTTTATCAAATTTGTTTTTTGCCTCAATTAATACGATCATATAATTTTTCTTCTCTATTCTATTTATATGATAGATTACATTTACTGATTTTCAAATGTCTATGTAGTCTTGTACACCTGAAATAAATCCACTTGGCCTATGTAAATTCTTTCTACATATTGCATTCTATTTTCTAATAATTGATTGAGGATATTTTGTCTATATTCATGAGAGATATTGGAATGTATTTTTTTTGTTTCGTACTGTCCTTGGAGTTGAACTGCATATTACTCTATATATTTATGTTTGTGTGTTTATATATACACATGCTATATAGTATAATAGTATATGTAATGTTAATCAAATTATGATGTTTCTTGGCTTGGATTTCTTTAGATTAATCCTGCAAGGGGTTTATTCAGCTTCTTCAACCTGTATATGCTTATGTTTTCAACAGATTTGGGAAGTTTTAAACTATTATTTATTTAAATACCCTTTGGCATTATTTTCTTTCTCCTCTTCTTCTGGAGCTCTGATGATATGAAAGTTGAATCTCTTGTTATTGTCCCATAGGTCCCCGAGGTTCTTTGCATTGTTTCTCAGTCTGTTTTCTCCCATTGTTCAGATAGGCTACATTTTGTTGATCTGTCCTCATGCTCATTGATTTCATCCTTGGTCATCTCCACTTAACTAATGAGCCCATTCAGTGAGATTTTATTTCTGTTACTGAACTTTCCAGTTCTATAATTTATAACAGGTAGAGTTTTAAAATATTGTATCTTGGACATTTTGGCTATTACAGAACTATAAACTGGAATTTAGGTCCTGTTTAAATCTTTAATTTTAGCAGATAGTCACTCTGTTTAGACCTAGCACACAGGTCCTGACCTAATTTTGTAGGCTGTGCATCCAATGGCAATTTTTTAAGAGACGTTTAGCTGTTATTTTTGTGTTCTAGTTTTATTTGGTACTACTGGGGTTTCCATTGTTCTCTGCTGGTACTGCCTGAGAAGGCAGAAGAAGGGATTTCCTTAGGCTAAGCCTTCTGGTGTCCTTGTGCGGTGGAGAGAATATCAAGACTATGAGGACAAAGAGGCTTCCCTGTCGGGGTGCTTGTGGCGGGATTGCCTGCTTGTGCCGGACAGAGACTGCTACTTGCTGGATGATTGTCAAATTGGAATATTTCTTGCTGGTGCCCTCTTTCCCCCTTTCTCACTCTGGTGTCTGTGGGTGGCAGAAGGAAGTCTCAGGCCTGCAGGGCCAGAGGGCCAGGATGCTTGTTATGGTGGGGTCCTTCTCCAGATGCCACCTGACTGCCCTGTTGTCTCTCTTTAGGGGAAGAGAATGCCAGACAGCAGGGAGAGAGGAGCTGAGTAGAGTACTTCTCTGGGTTAGTAGAATTCCTGATGGGCCCCCCTTACTCAAGTGCTGTGTTGTTGGAGGAACTACCTTTTGATAGGAGGCAGGAAAAAACCTACCTAGGCTGCCTTTTGTTGTGGGATGGCGTGTTGGAAGAGGCAAACATTTTTTGTCAAATAAACTAATTGCCTTCTTTAGTTGGGTGAAGGGACAGCCCTGCTGCTGTGTGGTTCCTACAGTTCTGGAATCCCAAAGCAGTTCACCTTCCCACATTTGAGAATTCTTTTTTGGTTACCTCTTGTATTGTTTCTACGGTTTGTAGTTGTACTTAATGGGAAGGGAGATGGGAGAAACCTGTATATACCATCTTATCCGGAAGTCAAAATCACTGTTTTTAAGTTATTTTATTTCGAAAAATCTCAAACTTGCTGGGTGCTTAGACCTGAGCTGGGCAGCGGCAGAACATGCCTTGAGCAGATGGGCATGTGCTTGTGACTAAGTGGGGTGGGAGTCGAGGTGCAGCGCGTTGGTGCTCTTTACAGTGCTCACGGCAGCCTGCTGTAGCGCTTGCCTGCATGTCATATTTCAATTTGCATTTTTCTTATTTTTAATGAGGTTGAGCATCTTTTCCTATCTTTAAGATCTATTCATATTTCCTTTTCTATAAATTGTCTGTATGTTTCTCTCTTTAAAAAAAATTGGTCTGTGTCTTTTAGGTTTATTAAATAATTTATATATTAAGAATGTTAGCACATGGTCTACAATTTGCTTTGTGATTTTATTCCTGGATGCGTTTTGATCTTTTATTTGTAGGATTTTTGTCATGCAGACATTTTCGATGCCTATGTAGTCAAATTTGGTAATCTTTTATTGCTTCAGGTTTTTCTATGATATTTAGAAAATCATTTCCAAATCCAAGATTATTGTTTCCTCCCTTATTCTCTTTTTTTCTGTAAAAGTTTATATGACATATAAAGTACAACACACATACAGAAAAGTGGATAAATCCTGAGTCTCAATAAATTTTCACAAAATGACATATCTGTATAACCAACACACCCACATGAAGAAACAGCTTCATCCATATTACTTAATATAGCTGTAGTTCATTTTGACTCCTTCACAATGTTTCATTTTGTTGATGGACATTTATATAGTTGTCAGTTTTTGATAAAAAATATTGCTGCTATGAACATTTTTATATATTTTGGTATGTGCACCTTCTATTGGCTATATACCTAGGAATGGAATTTCTGGCTTATTCATATATGCGTATGTTTAGCTTGAGGATACTGCCAGATTGTTTTCCAAAATCACTATGCTGATTAAACTCCCTGGAGGAGTATATGAGTGCTCAGGGTGCTCTACATCCTTGTTGACACTTGGTGTTTTCCATCACTTTTTTATTTTAACTGTTCTAGTTATTGTGCAGTGGCACTGCATTGTGGTTTTGTTGCTGGGGGCTCAGGAAGGTCTCCAGATGCAGGTGAGAACCCAGCCCCAGGGGGTTTTCAGGTTCCCCATTCCTTTGCATTTCTATGTAACTTTTAAAATCAGCTTGACAATTTTATATTTTAAAAATCAGGGACTTGTACTGGGATTGCGTTGACTTTTCAGATTACTTTTAGGAGAGTAGACATCTTCATTATAGTATATCTTTCAGCCCATGAATATACCATATTCCTCTATTTATTTAGATATTCTTTATTTCCTCAGAATAATGTTTTGTAGTTTTTAGGATAGAGATCTTATATATTTTTGTTTAGTTTTATTTCTATACATTTATTGTTTCTGATGCTATTGAAAATATCATTGGACATTTTATTTTCATTTGATTGTGGTTAGCATATAAAATATATTTAATTCTTGTTTAATGTCCTCATATCTCAGAAATCTTCTAACCATACAGGCATATCATCTATGAAAATGAGTTTTATTTTTTCCTTTCTAATTCTAAAGTATTTTATTTATTTTTTTCTTGCTTTATGACACTGGCTAGAACCTCTAGGACAATGTTCAAAAAAGTGATGATAGGAGAAATCCTTGTCTCATTCCTGATCTGAAACTTTTCATGTTTCTTCATTAGGTATGATCTTTTCTTATGGTATTTTTTATTAATTTTATCAAATAAACTAATTTCCCTTGTATCCCTAGTTTGCTAAGGATTATTTTATTAAATCATGAGTGGGTGCTAAATATAATCAAATGCTTTTACTGCATCTGTGGTGTTTCTTGTTTTCTTTCTCTAATATGGCTATTGTATTAATTTATTTTTTAATGTTAAATTCCCTTACATCTTGAAATAAATTTTATTTGGTTGCGATGTAGATATTGCTTGTTTTTATTCATTTGTTCAAGATTTTTGCATCTATAGTCACAAGACAGGTTAGTCTGCAGTTCCTTTCTGTTAAGTTTTTTTGTTTTTTTTTTTTTTTTTTGAGATGGAGTCTCGCTCTATCGCCCAGGCTGGAGTGCAGTGGCGCGACCTCAGCTCACTGCAAGCTCCTCCTCCCGGGTTCAAGCCATTCTCCTGCCTCAGCCTCCCGGGTAGCTGGGACTACAGGCTCCTGCCACCACACCAGGCTAATTTTTTGTATTTTTAGTAGAGACGGTGTTTCACCATGTTAGCCAGGATGGTCTAGATCTCCTGACCTCGTGATCCGCCCTCCTCGGCCTCCCAAAGTGCTGGGATTACAGCCGTGAGCCACCGCGCCTGGCCTCTGTTGAGTTCTTTTTAAAGTGTTGGTATCAAAGTTGTGCTAACCTTATAAAAGAAATATAGAAGTGCTCCTTTTTCATTGTTTTGAAAGTATTTGTGTAAGTTATTATTTCTTCCTTAATTATTTGGTAGAATTCACCAGTAAAATCTGGACTTGGTGTTTCCTTTCTGGAAAAATTTTGAATAAGAACTACACTTTCCTATATAAATATCAAACTATTGAAATTGTCTTTCTTCTACTGTCAATTTTGGTAAGTTACTTTTGGTTTAAGTAATTTTAAAATTTTATTTAAATTGCCAAATTCTTGGGCATGAAGTCGTTCATAACGACCTTTTACAATGTTTGACGTTGATAGTATCTGTAGTGATACTAGCTTAAAATTTGTATTCTCTCTCTCTTTTAACAATTTTACTGAGTTGATAACTTTCATTAATCTTTTCAAATGACTAAATTTTGACTTTGTTGACTTTTCTTTATTGAACTTTTGTTTTCTATTTCAATTATTCTTGTTATTATTTTAGCTATTTCCCTTCTACTTTGTTTAGGTTTGAGTTGTTGGATTATTTGTTCATTCATTCATGCATTCATTCATTTAGCTGTTTGAAATGAAAGTTTAGGTTATTGGTTTTTCAATATTTCTTTTTTTCTAACATATGCATTTAAGGCTGACAATTTCCCTCTATTTATTTCTTTAGCTATATGCCAAAAGTTTTGATATATCTCATCTTCATCATTGTTCATTTCAATTTTTTTCTAATTTTATTTGAATTTTTTCTTTATGAATTATTTGTGTGTATTACATAATATGAAGCAATTGGTGAGTTTCTAGATGCATTTTTCTTATTGTTTTTTAATTCCAGTGTGGTCAAGGGACATTCTTTGAATAGCTCAACCTTTTGAAACCTTTTGAAGCCTTTTGGTAATACTCAACTCATGCTTGATTTTGTAAATATGTACAAGATATACTTGAAAATAATGTGAATTATGTTTTGGTTGGGTTCAGTGTTCTTTATATGTTAATCAAATTTGTAAATTATGTTGTTCAGATGTTTATATCCTTACTGACTTTTTGGCTGATTCTTCTGTCAGGTATAGAGAGAAACTTGTTAAATCTTCTCATTGTGATTGTGGTTTTAACTATGTCTTTATTTCTGTCTATTTTTAGAGTTATTTTATGGAGAACTTACACTGGAGAACTTATGATATTGTGGACCAATTATTAGCAGAAGAATCTTAGTAGGCATGGGTGGGAGGAGTATCCTAGTTAGCCTTTCCAATTCCTCAGTGCAAGGGCTCCCTCTTCTGTTGATAAGGTGGTGATTATTATTATTGTTATTATTATTATTATTATTAATTACTTACAAATGACAAGCTTCCTTTGTTCTTCATATATTTACTATACCTCTTCTCTCCATCACCTTCAGTGCTTAGACTGTGCCTTTTTCTATCCCCTGCCCCACAGAAATTCTCACTCCCTGGGAGGTACTCCCCTTTTGGATTGAAAAATTGGGGGTGTTTTCGAAGTTCTTCTACTAATGGGACCTCTAACTATTTCAAGTTTTTCCCAACTACATCCACTGCCTCATTGCTATGACACAGTCTTGTGACTAATGATGCTAATTTTGCTGTTTTTTTCTCCTCTACTCATACAACATTTGGTTTGTGGGTGTTTATGTTTCTTACTTTCACTGAAAGTTTGGGTTGTCAGAAGACATGTGTTACTCTCTTGTGGCTTTTATGTATCTTAGAAGAAGTGATGAAATCCCCACTGAGCTACATCTGAATTTTTGCCAGAACCTAGAATCATAAGTTGAAAAACTATTCCCTGTTTGTATGTTTAAAATTTTTGTAATACATAATTCTAATGCCATACATGAGGTTATGATTATGTCCATCAAATCTTACACTTCCTAGTTTTGAAAACAAATGCCCTTTATCTATATCTGATTTGTTCATAATATAATGCTTTTATTAGTCTAGTGCCATTTTAACAGCTCAGAATTTATCAGGTATATTAGTCTTCCTCAATTTTGTTGTACATAAATTTAGTTTTACTGTTCGTAACTATTCTTCACACTGTTGCTCACCCCTAGGTTCCTCCAAATAGTAAACTTGCTTTATTTAATCCTCACAGTGTAAAATTAAAAATTCAGAAAAATTAATTCTGTTATTGTTAAATTTGCTTCCCAGAGCAATGGAGAATGTCACTACAATGAATGAGTTTCTTCTACTTGGCCTGACTGGTGTTCAGGAGCTGCAGCCTTTCTTCTTTGGGATTTTCTTAATCATTTACCTGATAAACTTGATTGGAAATGGATCTATATTGGTGATGGTTGTTTTGGAACCACAACTCCACTCCCCTATGTATTTTTTTCTGGGAAACCTTTCTTGTCTGGATATTTCTTATTCTTCAGTGACACTGCCCAAGCTGCTCGTAAACCTCGTGTGCAGTCGCAGGGCTATATCTTTTCTAGGCTGTATCACCCAGCTACACTTCTTCCACTTTTTGGGAAGCACAGAGGCCATTTTACTGGCTATCATGGCCTTTGACCGTTTTGTTGCCATCTGCAATCCTCTTCGCTACACTGTCATCATGAACCCCCAGGTGTGTATTCTGTTGGCAGCTGCAGCCTGGCTCATCAGCTTCTTTTACGCTCTGATGCATTCTGTCATGACTGCACACCTGAGTTTTTGTGGCTCTCAGAAACTCAATCACTTCTTCTACGATGTCAAGCCGCTCTTAGAATTGGCCTGTAGTGACACATTACTCAATCAATGGCTTCTTTCCATTGTCACAGGCAGCATATCCATGGGAGCTTTCTTTCTGACTCTTCTCTCCTGCTTCTATGTAATTGGCTTCCTTCTGTTTAAGAACAGGTCCTGCAGAATACTCCACAAGGCTCTGTCCACTTGTGCCTCCCATTTTATGGTGGTATGTCTTTTCTATGGACCTGTGGGCTTCACATATATTCGTCCTGCTTCAGCCACCTCCATGATTCAGGACCGGATAATGGCCATCATGTATAGCGCCGTCACCCCTGTACTGAATCCACTAATCTACACCCTTAGGAACAAAGAAGTGATGATGGCTCTGAAGAAAATCTTTGGTAGGAAGTTGTTTAAAGACTGGCAGCAACACCACTAGGACTAATGAGGGATATCTGATTTCTATTAAGACTGATTTCCATCACTTCACTGTAAGAAATGATTTGTTTACCTGGTTTATATTTTTCTTTCAAAAATTTTGAGCACATATTATATTAGGCAGTGTAGTAGGTTCAAGAAACACAGGAGCAAGCAAAACAAATTCCATAATGTCATCAAACATAAAGTTTAATGTGATGGAGGCCCCAAATAACCAAACGCGTAAGTACATATGTCAGGATAATTCGGTGGCAAGGAGAACTAAGGAGGTAGGAAGTATGGGGAGGGTTAGAGTAGGAATCTGCTGTGTAAAAAAGAATGTGGCATTTCTCCTAGGACAAAAACCTTTGGAATTTTCCAAGTAATAGAAGTATCTTACTGAAATTCCATATGAGATAATCTTTATTTTTGCCTATTTTTTTTCCTTTTGTGTTTCCTTCAGCAGGAATGTACTGATGATAATTTTTCTCACAACAGTTTTTATCTAGAATGTCATTTTTGTTAATCTTAATTCTTGAAGAGAATTTTTAATGGGTATTTAATTTTAGGGAGAGATTTTTCTAGCCATTGAAAATATCTTGTTTTTCCCCAGCTTATTGAAGTATAATTAACAAATAAAAATTGCATATATTTAGGCTTCACAACATGATGCTTTAGTATATGTATACATTGTGAAGAGACTACCACAATCAAGCTAAACCTACATTACTGTCCCTGCATTAGTTTACTGTTGAATACTAGAAGTTCTTCGTTCTATCTAACTGCATTTTCATACCCATTAAGCCAATGTGACAAGCTCTTTGTTTTAGTTGGAGTGTTTGCACAATTTAAATTTGATAAATTTTTGATAGAATTAAATTTAAATTTATCCTCCAACTAAATTTTTGATAGAATTAAATTTAAATTTGTCCTCCAACTGTTTGCCTTTCATTTGTCCTATTTGTCCGTTATTGCTTCTTCTTTCATTTACTGTTTTTTATGGGAATATTTTTATGATTTCATTATATTTTCACTATTGTCCTTTTATTTATACCTTTTTATTTTATATTTTTGTGGTTACTCTGGGGTTTACAATGTACATTTTAAATTCACAAAATATTTCTTCACGTAATATTACACCATTTAAGATGTATTGCTAGAGTCATGCCATACTGTACTTCCATCTCCCTGCTCATGCTTTGTGATTTTAATGTCACACATTTTACTTTTACTTATGTTATTAGTATCCAAGATACTGCAATTCTGTTTTTTTTGAAAAATTCTATTATTTTTAAGGTAATTAAAAATAATAAAAATGTCTTTTACACTTAAACACATATTTATAATTTCTGGCACTTTTGGTCCCTTCATGGAGACACTGATTTTCATCTCGTATCATTTTTTTGTTGTTGTTGTCTAAAGACTTTCCTTAACTATTTCTTGTAGTAAAGTTCTGCTGGTAATAATTTACTTCAGCTTTTGTTGGCATGAAAAAGTACTTTGCCCTTATTTTTAAGAGATGTTTTCTCTGTATATAAAATTTTAAATTGGCAGACTTTTGTTTATGTGCTTTAAAGCTGTTGCTCCATTACCTGTCTCACATAATTTCTGGTGGGATGCATGCTGCCATTCTTATCTTTATTCCTTTGTAATAACTGTGTTGATTTTTCTCTTGCTGATTTTAAGATTTTTCTTTATGACTTTTTTAGCAAATAGATTATGATGTTCATTGTAAAGTTTTCTAATATTTATTCTATTTAATTTTTATTGAGCTTCTTGGATCTATAGATTATATATTTTATCAAATTTGGAAAAACTCAGTCATTACTTCTTCAATGTTTTTAATCAAACACTTCTTTAGTACTCCACTTGCACATATGTTAGACTGCTTGAAATTATGACATAGGTCATTGATACTTTGTCCATTTTATTAAAAAGATTTCTCTGTGCTTCATTTTGGATTGTTTTTATATCTATATCTCCAAGTTCCTTGATTTTTTCTTCTGCAGTAATTAATCTACTGTTTATTCCATGCACTGCATTTTTCACTTTATATTTTGTATTTTTTATTTAAACAAGTTCTATGTGGGTCTTTAAAAAAATCTCTCTCTTTTTATGTCTGTATTTCCCCTAAATTATTATGCTTATTTTGAGGCATACTTTTTTTTTGTTAAGGTAGATCCAGAACATTGTTTATTCTGAGATTAATTTAGCCCCCACTACTAAGGTAATATCCTTCTCAGGACTCCACCTAAGTCCTTGTCTATTACAAGCTGTTCCAATCAGGCTGATGGGTCATGGGACATACCCAACCCTGTCTTGTACAGTGTATTAAAATCATTGCTTTATATATTTTATTCCATTTTTTAGATGTTTAATCAGGAGAGAAAATCTCGTTACTTTATTATGGCAAGTAATGAAACACAAAAATCATTATTTTTGAGGTTGCGGAATGTAGATCTTCCTATCTGTTGTGGGTACACACGACTACTTTCTAGTATCAATAACATTAGTGTGATATAATCTAAATCACAGGCACTAATGTAGTCACTCCTGATCGAGGTACAACATATGTAGCTGGCAATACTGTTCAGGGTTGATGCTTATATTTTTTTTTTCTTAAATTGAGACAGAGTCGCCCTATGTTTCCCAGGCTGGTCTTGAACTCCTGGGCTCAAGGGATCTTCCTGCCTCTGCCTCCCAAAGTGATAGGATTACAGGTGTGAGCCAGCACTCCAGGCCTTATCTTAAATTCACACTTTGTTAACTTTTTTTCTCCTTTTTTTGTAGAAACAAACAGAGCAAATATTTCAGTGTATGATGTCCCTGTTTTCCTACTCTGTTCTATGAGTATATCTCTATAAAAGAGTTGATTCTACTATTATTTTGCTCTTAATAATATTTTCCTATTTTCACCTCATTTTTATTATTCTGAATAGATCATCTTTAAAAAGGAAGTGAAATTTTTTTTCCTTTTTGTCTCTACCCTATCTATTTCTTTTTTGTTATGGCCATTTATAGTCACGTACACTCATTTAATCTCAATTTATTCACTGGAAAAAAACAGCTGATTTAATGTTAGAGAGCACACATTATTGGTAAATCCCTTATTATACATCATAAAAAGCAAAGACACCCCAAACTCCTAGATTTATAAGAAGAAAACAAGCTATGGGGAAATGATTCCCTATTTAATAAATGGTGCGCGGATAACTTCCTTGTCATATACAGAAGATTGAAGCTGGATACCTACCTTTTACCCTATACAAAAGTTAACTCAAAATTGATTAAAGATTTAAATGTAAGACCTCAAATTATAGAAATCATGGAAGATAACCTAGGAAATACTCTTCTCAACATCGGCCTTGGCAAAAGATTTTTGGCTAAGTCACCAAAAGCAATGGCAACAAAAACAAAAATAGACAAGTGAGACCTGATTAAACTAAAGAGCTTCTGCACAGCAAAAGAAACTATCAACAGAGCAAACACACTATCTACAGAAAGGGAGAAGATATTCACAAACAATGCATCTGACAAAGGCCTAATATCCAGAATCTATAGGGAACTTAAAGTTTAAGTCAACAAGCAGAAAGCCAATAATCCCATTAATAAATGGGCAAAGGACATGAAAAAACACTCTCAAAAGAAGACATACATGTGGCTAACAAACATACGAAAAAATTATCAGCATCACTAATTATCAGGGAAATGCAAATCAAAACTGCAGTGAGATATTATCTCACACCAGTCAGAATGACTATTTAAAAAGTCAAAAAACAACAGATGCTATCAAAGCTGCAGAGAAAAGGGAATGCTTATATGCTGTTGGTGGGAATGTGGATTAGTCCAGCAACTGTGAAAAGCAGTCTGGAGATTTCTCAAATAATTTAAAACAGAACTACTATTCAATACAGCAATCTCATTAATGGGTATATATCAAAATAAAATAAATCATTCTACCAATAGGATACATACACTCACATGTTCATTGTTGCGCTGCTCACAATAGCAAAGATGTGGAATGACAGACTGGATAAAGAAAATGTGTTACATATGCACCATGGAATACTATGCAGCCATAAAAACAGAATAAAATAATGTCCTTTGCAGCAACATGGATGGAGCTGGAGGGCATAATTCTAAGCAAGTTAACACAGGAACAGAAAACCAAATACTGCATGTTGTAACTTATAAGTGGGAGTTAAGCATTGAGCACACATGAACATAGGTATGGGAACAATAGACACTGTGGACTACCAGAGGCTTCAGGGATGGGGGAGGATGGGTTAAAAAACTGCCTATCAAGCCAGGTACTAGGCTCATTACCAGGGTGGTGAGATCCATACTCCAAATTTGAACATCATGCAATATTCCCATGTAACAAATCTGCACATATATCCACTATGTCTAAAATAGAAGTTGAATTTTTTTAAAAAAGTAAAAACTAAAAATAAATATAAAATAAAAAAATTTAAAAAGACTTATTGGTAATGAATGTTAGATACAATAAATGAATAATGCAAAATTTATTATCGTCTGTTTTTGGAGTGAAATAACCACTCATAGATATCTTCAGATGATAACTCTCTTGCTGTGTGTACCCAAGTCAGCCGGTAAGAATTTAGCAAGTGATGAAATTGGATAATGCCTAGTAGGTAATTAATTTGTTGAGAATTGAGATTTGATTTTAAGCCATAGGTGATGATTAAGAACCATATGAATCTGGGAGAAATAACTCTTCTTTAATCCAAATTCTTAATTTTAAAGGGCAGGCAATATAATCATTAGAGGTCAAAGGATTCAGAAATTCTGTTTTTATGTGATAGTGGCATACTTAGCTGCCTCAATTCTTAAATAATTATAGGATCAAAATTAATCAAGCAATTATACTTTTAATTTACAAGTCATGCTCAAAATTAATATTTAATCTATCACAAAATATATGGATACTGTATATTCGTTAGTGAGTTTTTGATACATCTTCAAGAACACATAACATGCAAAGGAATAGATATTTGGAGGACTAATCAGTCTTCAGTGGCTGAAGAATATTTCTTCAGTGAGAAGTAGTGTGCAATGTAAGCTTCCCCCACCTCCAGGAGGAAATGAGGATGCTTTCTCCTAATTTAAGCTGAGAGAAAAACCAGTTAGAGAGCTTGATTTCTACATCTGGAATTTTGGAGTCCAAAGACTGATATTTCTTACATGGCCAAGAAGCAAAATCTAGAGAACTGCATTTCCTGTGTTAATAGGGGAAGCATGTGGGTTGTTTCTCACTAGACAGATGTGGGCCAGGAGGTAGTGGTCCACCTGGAGCAGGTCGGACTCCACAGGACACTTTCTGAAGCATAATTATGATGGCAACAGAGCCACTAGAAGACAAATAGATGCTCAGGGGTTGAAGCAGGAACCAGAAGTAGTGAGTCTCAGGACTTGTGCTTGAAGATCCCCAACGTGTGTCTCCGAGGCTCTTGAAATATTCCCATAAGATGTGGGGATCTTCTTAATCCAAAGGGCATTTTCCTTACTCACTCCAGTCCCATGCACTGGCCTTCAGGGACTGAGTAGAGTCTTGGCACTCACCTAGAAAACCCATCACTCAGAAGTTTATCAGCACAGACTCTGTAGGGAACATTATTTTGTGTTACTTCGTTGTATTCTTAAAAACAGCCCCATATCAGTCTCTCAGAGTCTGAATGGTAATCTCTGCTCAATATCTCCAATCACAGGTGAGTGAGTAAGTATTTTTAATTGCTTAACTATAGCTTCATTGCTCTTAGAGATACACTTTTCTGTCTTGCTTTTTGGATATGAGACTAACTGTGTAGGAGATGGAAGTGTAATGACCTGAGGAGTTCCAAAGGAGGGAATAATAAAATTGTCTGTCCCATGCTTTGGGTGACAATCAGCCTACTGAGTATGTGAATCAGGAAGCTTCTTTCATTTTGGGTAATTTTTATGTCATTCAGAATAGCCCTCTGCTGGTTTGCCGATTTTTTATTAAATAAAGGACAGTGTATTTATTCTGCAAAAAGAGACTAAAATGCCACTGGACTGCAGAGAATAGTATCAGGAACACACTTTGTGTGACTTTCTCACAAGAAACCATCTTTCATGTGGATCTAATAACCTTGCATGCTAGCTATTATTGATTGAGCTTTAGCCACACTGATTTTCACGTTTGCTATGTGATTTCAGTTTTTAGTAAGAAATTGGATAGTATATTTTGAGAAAATTTGAAATTTTAAGATTCTGAATTTCTAAGGTCTCTTTTTTGAGAACACTCTTTAATGAAGAGCTACTGGGTCTGTTAGAAGGAAATGAAAAAGTCAAGACTGAGCTTGGAGGGCAAACATTCTCGTGAATTTTCTGGGGGCCTCTCCTTGTGGGTTCTTAGAGGCCATTCTTGAGCTCTTTACTATGATATGAAATTCTGAAAACATTTTCTCAGTTGTCCTTGTATTATATCAAGTTTCGGTTCTTTAGTAAGGAGTCAAGACCATGGCTGCTTGGAAAAGCAGTAATTTTCCTATAACTCTGTGTGAAATACTTGTGCTTTGCGTGGTGAATTCTATTCTGTCTCAGGGTCAATCTATGCCTATGAGAGGCAACAATGACCCATGTAGCACAATTTGAGTACCAGCTGCAGGATGTTGTTCTAGATTTGGAAATAGAAGAATTTTTTTCTACTCTTAGTTCACTACTTGTTAACTATTTGATCTTATAAGTAATCCACCATAAATTACAGACTCCTCTACTCTAACTAATATAAATGTTGTAAGAATAAAAATAATATGTAAGGTCTGAACATTTTTTCCAAGTTCTACATCATAATAAGTATGTAAAAAAGGGAGGAAATACAATTGTTTTCTTGGAAAATTTTGCTATACTGCCTTATATTCCAACAGTAGTAATCCATTACTGAATGTAAGACCACTGTGTCCCCAGTTACGTATTAATTCATTGAGAAATAGATTAGTAAGACAGAATATGCACCATAAGATATTATGGACAAACAAGTGATATGTCACACAAATAAGTATGTTGTGTGTTATGTGTCATAATCAAGATTGAAACAAATGCCTATAGATTTTCCAGGAAGGGACAGAAGCATTTCACTTGAAGAGAAAAGAGGCATTTAAGCTGAGCTTTAAAAATATGTAGATTAGCAGACAGAAATGAAAGCAGGAAGAAAAACATACAGGCTGAGTGGATAAAAAAATGACTAAAATTAAGAGGCTATTCTGAAAAAGAAAATTCTTATTTTAAGGCAAATAACCTTAGAGGAGTAATACATTATTGTTTAAGTTATTTCATTTAGTCGTTTTATCACAACAGCTTCCCCACAAATAGGGACATGGGAAAGGCATGTTTTGAAGTAAAGGGCAATGATCACAGAACATAGAGGACTTGGGTAACAAAACAAAAGCATCAGGAGATCCCCAGGAGAAAGTAATTCCTTCTCTTAATGTGTAAGAAACCCTGAGAAGGGAGGTGGGCTGCTGAGCCAAGTGTGTCCTCCTTCGCTATTTTGAGAACTGGACAGCTGATACCATCTCATAATGACCTATGTTTGTGTTGGAGGGCAGTTCTCTGCAGGATAGCTTTTCTCATGAGGAATGGTCTGGCAAGAAAAATGGGGCCCCTTATTTTCACAAACAGTTCTTTTAATAACAGCACTCTTTCATACACTAACTGTAATTCAGTGCTTCCTTGAATTTCTTTCTACTTTTATGCTTCTCCTTCTTAGTCTCATAGTTTAGCTTCTACATGCAGGAAATTAGTTCTGAGAAAGTTCAATTCTGTGTTCTCTTTTTTCCTACTTCACACTCTCCCATCCATAGGAGTAGTTTCAACTATCCTCTATATGCTGATGTGTTACAAATTCGTATCTCTAGTACATACCTCTCCTCTGAGGCCACATACCAAAATATGTCAAATAAACATATTTTCTTAGATATTCAGATATCTCAAATTCAGCATGGCCAAAACTGAACACATGATCTCCCCCTGGATTTCCTTTTTTTTTTTTTTTTTTTTTAATATACTTTACTTTAAGTTCAGGGATACATATGCAGAATGTGCAGGTTTGTTACATAGGTGTACATGTGCCATGGTGGTTTGCTGCACTGATCAACACGTCATCTCGGTTTTAAGCCCCGCATGCATTAGCTATTTGTCCTAATGCTCTCCCTCCCCTTGCCACCTACTCCCCAACAGGCCCCAGTGTGTGAGGTTCCCTCCCTGTGTCCATGTGTTCTCATTGTTCAACTCCCACTTATGAGTGAGAACATGTAGTGTCTGGTTTTCTGTTCCTGTGATAGTTTGCTGAGGATGATGGTTCCCAGCTTCATCCATGTCCCTACAAAGGACATGATCTCATTCTTTTTTATGGCTGCATAGTATTCCATGGTATATATGTGCCACATTTTCTTTATCCAGTCTATCATTGATGGGCATTTGTGTTGGTTCCAAGTCTTTGCTACTTTAAATAATGCCACAATAAACCTACGTATGCATGTGTCTTTATAGTAGAATGATTTATAATCCTTTGGGTATATACCCAGTAATGGGATTGCTGGGTTAAATAGTATTTCTGGTTATAGATCCTTGGGTAATTGCCACACTGCCTTCCACAATGGTTGAACTAATTTACACTCCCATCAACAATGTAAAAGCCTTCCTATTTCTCCACATCCTCGCCAACATCTGCTGTTTGCAGACTTTTTAATGATTTCCATTCAAACTGGCGTGAGATGGTATCTTATTGTGGTTTTGATTTGCATTTCTATAATGACCCATGATGATGAGCTTTTTTTCATATGTTTGTTGGCCACATAAATGTCTTCTTTTGAGAAGTGTCTGTTCATATCCATCACCCACTTTTTGATGGGGTTGTTTGTTTTTTCTTGTAAATATGTTTAAGTTCCTTGTAGATTCTGGATATTAGACCTTTGCCAGATGGATAGATAGCCAAAATTTTCTCCCATTCTGTAGGTTTCCTGTTCAGTCCGATGATAGTTTTTTTTTTTTTTTCTATGCAGAAGCTCTTTAGTTTAATTAGATCCCGTTTGTCAATTTTGGCTTTTGTTGCATTGCTTTTGGTGTTTTAGTCATGAAGTCTTTGCCCATGCCTATGTCCTGAATGGTATTGCCAAGGTTTTCTTCTAGGGTTTGTATGGGTTTAGGTTTTATGTTTAAGTCTTTAATCCATCTTGAGTTAATTTTTGTATAAGGTGTAAGGGAGGGGTCCAGTTTCTGTTTTCTGCATGTGGCTAGCCAATTTTCCCAGCACCAATTATTCAACAAAGAATCCTTTCCCCATTGCTTGTTTTTGTCAGGTTTGTCAGGTTTTTTCAGGTTTGTCAAAACAAAGGTTTTGTCAGGTTTGTCAGGTTGTAGATGTGTGGTGTTATTTCTGAGGCCTCTGTTCTGTTCCATTGGTCTATATATCAGTTTTGGTACCAGTATCATGCTGTTTTGGTTACTGTAGCCTTGTAGTCTAGTTTGAAGTCAGGTAACATGATGCCTCCAGCTTTGTTCTTTTTGCTTAGGATTGTCTTGGCTATACGGGCTCTTTTTTTGGTTCCATATGAAATTTAAAGTCGTTTTTTCTAGTTCTGAGAAGAAAATCAATGGTAGCTTGATGGGAATAGCATTGAATCTATAAATTACTTTGGGCAGTATGGCCATTTACACAGTATTGATTCTTCGTATCCATGACCATGGAATTTTTTTCTCTTCATTTGTGTCCTCTCTTATTTCCTTGAGAAGCAGTTTGTAATTCTCCTTAAAGAGGTCCATCACATCCCTTGTAAGTTGTATTCCTAGGTATCTTATTTTTTTATGGTAATTGTGAATGGGAGTTCACTCATGATTCAGCTTTCTGCTTGTCTATTATTGGTGTATAGGAATGCTTGTAATTTTTGCACATTGATTTTGTATCCTGAGACTTTGCTGAAGTGGCTCATCAGCCTAAGGAGTTTTGGGCTGAGATGATGGGGTTTTCTAAATATACAATTATGTCATCTGCAAACAGAGGCAATTAGACTTCCTCTCTTCCTATTTGAATACCATTTATTTCTTTCTCTTGCCTGATTGCCCTGGGCAGAACTTCCAATACTATGTGGAATAGGAGTGGTGAGAGAGGGCATCCTTGACTTGTGCAGGTTTTCAAAGAGTACGCTTCCAGCTTTTGCCCATTCATTATGATATTGGCTATGGGTTTGTTGTGAATAGGTCTTTTTTTATATATATGTTCCATCAATATTTAGTTTATTGAGAGTTTTTAGCATGAAGGGGTATGGAATTTTATCAAAGGCCTTTTCTGCATCTATTGAGATAATCATGTGGTTTTTGTCATTGGTTGTTTATGTGATAGATTATGTTTATTGATTTGTGTATGTTGAACCAGCCTTTTATCCCAGGTATGAAGCCGACTTGATTGTAGTGGATAAGATTTTTGATGTGCTGCTGGATTTGGTTTGCCAGTAGTTTATTGAGCATTTTTGCATCGAGGTTCATTAGGGATATTGGACTGAAATTTTCTTTTTTTGTTGTGTCTTTGCCAGGTTTTGGTATCAGGATGATGCTGGCCTCATAAAATGAGCTAGAGAGGAGTCCCTCTTTTTTATTGTTTGGAATAGTTTCAAAACGAATGGTACCAGCTCCTCTTTGTACCTCTGGTAGAATTCAGCCATGAATCCATCAGATCCTGGAGATTTTTTGTTTTTTTAGGCTACTAATTACTGCCTCAATTTCAGTACTTGTTATTGGTCTATTCAGGGATTCGACTTCTTCCTGGTTTAGGCTTGGAAGGGTGTATGTGTCCAGGAATTTATCCATTTCTTCTAGATTTTCTAGTTTATTTGCATAGAGATATTTATAGTATTCTCTCATGGTAGTTTCTATTACTGTGGGATCAGTGGTGATAACTCCTTTACCATTTTTTATTGTGTCTATTTGATTCTTCTCTCTTTTCTTCTTTACTAGTCTGGCTAGCAGTCTATCTCTTTTGTTAATCTTCTCAAATAACCAGCTCCTGCATTCACTGATGTTTTGAAGGGTTTTTCGTGTCTCTGTCTCCTTCAGTTCTGCTCTGATCTTAGTTATTTCTTGTCTTCTGCTAGCTTTTGAATGTGTTTGCTCTTGCTTCTTTAGCTCTTTTAATTGTGATGTTAGGGGGTCGATTTTAAATCTTTCCTGCTTTCTGACGTGGGCATTTAGTGCTCTAAATTTTTCTCTTAACACTGCTCTAGCTGTGTCCCTGAGATTATAGTTTATTGTCTCTTTGTTCTCACTGGTTTCAAATAACTTCATTATTCCTCCCTTAATTTCATTATTTACCCAGTAGTCATTCAGGAGCAGGTTGTTAATGTAATTGTGAGGTTTCATGTAGTTGTGAGGTTTTGAGTGAGTTTCTTAATGCTGAGTTCTAATTTGATTGCACTGTGGTCTGAGAGACTGTTTGTTTTGATTTCCATTCTTTTGCATTTGCTGAGGAGTGTTTTACTTCCAATTATGTGGTCGATTTTAGAATAATTGCTATGTGGTGCTGAGAAGAATGTATATTCTGTTGATTTGGGGTGGAGAGTTCAGTAGATGTCTATTAGGTCTGCTTGGTCCAGAGCTGAATTCAAGTCCTGAATATTCTTGATAATTTTCTGTCTCATTGATCTGTCTAATATTGACAGTGGAGTGTTAAAGTCTTCCATTATTATTGTATGGGAGTCTAAGTCTTTTGTAGGTCTGTAAGAACTTGTTTTATGAATCTGGGTGCTCCTTTATTGGGTGCATATGTATTTAGGATAGTTAGCTCTTCTTGTTGCATTGATCCCTTTACCATTGTGTAATGCCTTTCTTTGTCTTTTTTGATCTCTGTCGGTTTAAATTCTGTTTTATCAGAGACTAGGATTGCAACCCCTGCTTTTTTTTTCTCTTTCCATTTGCTTGGTAAATATTTCTCTGTCCCTTTGTTTTGAGCCTATGTGTGTCTTTGCACATGAGATGGGTCTCCTGAATACTGCACACTGATGGGTCTTGACACTTTATTCAATTTGCCAGTCTGTGTCTTTTAATTGGGACATTCAGCCCATTTACATTTAAGATTAATATTGTTAGTGTGAATTTGATCCATTCATCATGATGCTAGTTGGTTACTTTGAACATTAGTTGATGCAGTTTCTTCATAGTGTCTTTGGTTTTTATATTACGGTGTGTTTTTGCAGTGGCTGGTACTACTTTTTCCTTTCCCTGTTTAGTGCTTCCTTTAGGAGCTCTTGTAAAGCAGGCCTGGTGGTGACATAATCCCTCAGCATTTGCTTGTCTGTAAATGATTTTATTTCTCCTGCACTTATGAAGCTTAGTTTGGCTGTATGCAAAATTCTGAGTTGAAAATTCTTTTTTTTTAAGAATGTTGAATATTGGTCCCCACTCTCTTCTGGCTTGTGGGTTTTCTGCGGAGAGATCCACTGTTAGTCTGATGGGCTTCCCTTTGTAGGTAACCTGACCTTTCTCTCTGACTGTCCTTAACATTTTTTCTTTCATTTCGACCTTGGATAATCTGATGATTATGTGTCTTGGGGTTGCCCTTCTCGAGGAGTATCTTAGTGGTGTTCTCTGTATTTCCTGAATTTGGATGTTGACCTGTCTTGCTAGGTTGGGGAAGGTCTCCTGGATAATATTTTGAAGTGTGTTTTCCAACTTGGTCTCATTCTCCATGTTACTTTCAAGTATACCACCCAATCACATGTTTGGTCTTTTCACATAGTCCCATATTTCTTGGAGACTTTTTTCCTTCCTTTTCCCTCTTTTTTCTCTAATATTGTCTTCACACCTTATTTTAGTAAGTTGATCTTCAATCTCTGATATCCTTTCTTCTGGTTGATCAATTCAGCTATTGATACTTGTGTATGCTTCATGAAGTTCTCATGATGTGTTTTTCAGCTCCATCAAGTCACTTATGTTTTTCTCTAAACTTCTAGTTAGCAGTTCCTGTAATCTTTTGTCAAATTTCTTAGCTTCATTGCATTGGGTTAGAACATGCTCCTTTAGCTCAATGGAGTTTGTTATTTCCCACCTTCTGAAGCCTACTTCTGTGAATTCATCAAACTCATTCTCTGCCCAGTTTTGTGCACTTGCTGGAGAGGAGTTGCAATCATTTGGAGAAAAGACATTTTTCTCTAGAAGAATGTTTTTGGAATTTTCAGCATTTTTGTGCTGGTTTTTCCTCATCTTCGTGGATTTATCTACCTTTGATCTTTGAGGTTGATGACCTTTGGATGGGATTTTGTGTGGGGGTCCTTTTTGTTGATGTTGATGTTATTGCTTTCTGTTTGTTAGTTTTTCTTCTACCAGTCAGGCCCCTCTTCTGCAGGTCTGCTGCAGTTTGCTCAAGGTTCACTCCAGACCCTATTTGCCTGAGTATCACCGGTGGAGGCTGCAGAACGGCAACTATTACTGCCTGCTTCTTCCTCTGGAAGCTTCATCCCAAAGGGAAGCCCAGTGCCAGCTGGACTCTCCTCTATGAGGTGTCTGTCAACCCCTGTTGGGGAGTCTCTCTCAGTCAGTAGGCACTGGGGTCAGGGATTCACTGGCAGAGGCAGTCTGTCCCTTAGCAGAGCTTGAGCGCTGTGCTGGGAGAACCCTCCTTGTCAGAATCCACTGTTCTCTTCAGAGCCGGCAGGCAGGAATGCTTAAGTCTGATGAAGCTGCGCCCACAGCTGCCCCTTCCCCCAGGTGCTCTGTCCCAGGAAGATGGGAGTTTTATCTCTAAGCCCCTGACTGGGACTGCTGCCTTTCTTTCAGAGATGCCCTCCCCAGTGAGGAGGAATCTAGAGAAGCAGTCTGGCCACAGCCACTTTGCCACGCTGTGTTGAGTTCCACCCAGTCCAAACTTCCAGGCCTCCTTAGCACTGTCAGGGGAAAACTGCCTACTCAAGCCTCACTAATGGTGGATGCCCCTCCCCACAACAAGCTCGATCATCCAGGGTCGACTTCAGACTGCTGTGCTGGCAGTGAGAATTTTAAGCCAGTGGTCCTTAGCTTGCTGGGCTCCATAGGAGTGGGACCCGCTGAGTGAGAGCACTTGGCTTCAGCCCCCTTTCCAGGGGAGTGAACAGTTCTGTCTGTTGATGTTCCAGGTGCCACTGGGGTATGAAAAAAACTCCTGCAGCTGGCTCAGTGTCTGCCCAAACAGCCACCCAGTTTTGTGCTTGAAACCCAGGCCCCTGGTGGTGTAGGCACATGAGAGAATCTCCTGGTCTGCGGATTGCAAAAACCGTGGGAAAGGTGTAGTATGTGGGTGAATAGCACAGTCCCTCACAGCTTCCCTTGGCTGGGGAAGCTCCTTGCACTTCCCGAGTGGGGCGATGCCACACCATGCTTCTGCCTGCCCTCCAGGTGCTGCACCTGCTTCCTAACCAGTTACCTAACTGGTACCTCAGTTGGAAATGCAGAAATCACCTGCCTTCTGCATTGGTCTCACTGGGAGCTGCAGAGCAGAGCTGTTCCTATTCAGCCATCTTGCCAGATTTGCCAACAAGTGCCAATTTCCTGCTTTCATTTCAGAGAATGACACCCCCAGCCATCTGCTTGTTCAATCCAGGAATCTAGATCAGCACAGTGCACTCGTTTAGGCCACAAAGTGAAATGTAAAACCCAATAACACCACTGCAAGTCTGAGTAACTTTAGGCAAATTATTTAATTTCTCTGAAACTTATTTTAAAATTTTTTACTTGTAATGTGGACATAATATGTCTCTTTCATTGTGTGCGTGTGCGTTTTTAGTGTGTGTGGGCATGTGAACTGGGTAATACAATGATTGTTGAATGGTTATGTTATAATAAGCATTTAATATATGTTGGTTATAACTACTATCCTTAATTTATCCTTCTTCGTCATTTTATACCAAAATTGTAACACTGTATATTCTAATATCTCTCAAATGCCTCTATTTCTATCCAACCAAATTGTCACCACTCTAGTCTGCAGTATATATATAACGTGATGTTATAATGCATGTATATATTTTGGAATGAGTACAGCAGGCTAAATAACATATCTGCCACCTCACATACTTATCATTACTTTGTGGGGAAAATATTTAAAATCCACTCCATTAGCAATTTTGGAATATACAATACATTTTAACTATAGTCACCATGCTATACAATAAATCATTAGAAGTTACTTCTCCTGTGTAACTGAAACTTTGTACCCTTTGACCAGTCCACCCCTGTCCACTCCTACCTCAAACTCTGGTAACCACCATTCTATTTTCTACCTCAATAGATTTGACCTTTTTAGATTCCACATATAAGGGAGATCATGCAATACTTGTCTTTCTGTGCCTGGCTCATTTCACTCAGCATAATGTCCTCTAGCTTAACCCATGTCAGAAATGACAGGATTTTCTTTTTTTAAAGGCTGCATAGTATTCCACCAGGTATATATAACATTTCTTTAGTCATTCATCTATTGGTGAAGATTTAGGTTGTTTCCATGGCTACTGTGAATAATGCTGCAAAGACCATGGGAGTGCAGATATCTCTTTGAGATACTGATTTCAATTCCTTTGAATATATATCCAGAAGTGGAATTGCTGGATCACATAGTAGTTGCATTTTTAGTTTTTTGAAGAAACTGCACTGTTTTCCAAAATGGCTCTATTAATTTACATTTCCATTAACACTGTGCCAGTTCCCTTTTTTCCACATTTTTGCCTTAAAATACATTTGTTGAATAAAATGAGTAGAAGGGTTAATTCCTCCTCAGAAGTGGAAGGAAATGTTAAAAAAGATGAAAGGGGAGATAGAGATTTGGAATAGGGAAAAAGATTGATTTGAGAATACAATTTTGGAGTTCTTCTGTAGATGGAATGAAAATTGTCCCAGTGAATTTATTCAGTTGTGGTAATGTGAAATACTATATTATGTGAATTTTTTCAACTTATCCTCTCCCTTCATTAAAAATATCCACAGTAGTTCACGAGGAAAGAAGACAGCAATTACAACAAAAGCACAATTAAGCCACCTCTCAAACTTGACATTGAAATGCATATTTGTCTATAGGTGAGGGCAATCGATAAAGTATATAGTTTGAATGAATATACAACAATTATCTTCATTTTTAAGTTTTTATTTTGTTTTATTTATCTAAGTTTTTATAATTTGCTTCAAACATCAAACTGCAGATTAATTTTTCTCACTTGAATTAGGCCTTGAGCATTTTAAATTAGGGGATTCTCCCTACAACTGTTTTAATTTTATTAAACATTTTTATTAACCAACTTAAACTAAGCTCTAGAAGAGTATCTTTTAATAACACAAACATGAACATTTAAATTAATCTATAGCTGGTCCAGGAAATAAAAAACTACACTAGAAATTGATTGTTCAAATAAACATATTCAAATAAAAACCAGGTATTTAGAAACAATTGGATTTAACCATCAAAACACTGCAGGCATAGCACATTGCCATTAACAGTCAGAAATAGAAGTCATAACAATTTGTAACCAGTTAAAATAATTCAGTTGTATGAACGTAGGTTATATTCAAAACAAGAGAAGTGTTTTTTAAGGGCATTCTGTTGTCATAAGTTAATGGAAATTAAATTTTTAGCCACTCAACTGAAAGTATATTAGCTTTGGGAGTGATAAAGCTACCTTTTTTTTACCTGCTAGCTGCGTGACATCTTCCAGACGTTTATCTTGCTGAGGCTTGGTGCTCTCATCCAGAGAATGGGAATGATAAATATTACTTATCTTAAAGGATTTATGTAAAGACTAAATGAGATGCTGTGTAGGAAGTGCTCAGAGATTATCAGCATCCTTCTATATGAAGCACTTAACAATAATTTGTTGAAACAGACACTAATTCCTGCACCAGCCAAATAGCTCTTGAATTTTCCAGATTGATGATCTATAGCAATAGGTTTCTAATTCATTAGGATAAGTCTCTTGGAAAGTTTATAAAAATTCAGATAACCTAACCCCAAATTCAGGGAATCTAATTCAATATGCTTCTTGTTGAAATTTATCATATCAAAAATGAACAAATAAAACAATATAAATATTCATTAATAAGGGTGGGATATATAAAAACTTTGCTATATTCATACAAATACTTGAATACAACTCAAAGATCATGTTTTAGCATAAAATGTATTGCCACGGAAAATTAAGGAAAAATCAGATTAAAATAGGTACTTTTGATCCTCTAGTCAACATTTCTATATGGAAAATGGATCAGAAGAACATATACCAAATCATTAATAGAGATTTTCTCTGGTGACTACTAAAGATTTTTAATGTTTTAAATTTTCTTTTCTATATTTTTCCCAAATATTCTAAAACAAATACATTAATTTTAATCGGAAAAGAATATAAAACAAAATTTATATTAACGTTGAAGTATGAAAAAGGAGAGCAGGGATGGCTTCAAAGAAGCAAATGAATACCAGAGATTCTTCTAGAAATCGCATTCTACAGCACAAGTTCACACATCCCCAAGAAAATGCCGGTGAGCATGACCCAGCCATTATTAACAGAGAACTCTAGGACATATGGTGTCCATTTGTATTCTAATTTAAAACTTCCAGTGTTGTATATTTAAAAAGATTTGATCTGCAGGTGAAACATTGGATGTATTTATATCTGTGTTGCATGGTAGGTAGGAGCTATGGTTTGCAAAAGAATGCTGCTTCTCTGGTTTGACATAAATGGTGATTACTTTTATTTGTAACCGTTTTTTCCCTTATTTTTCAGGTCATGCTATTGCAGCATATGATTCATTTTTATAATCTGGTCTTCTCTTTGCCCAATTCCTGAAAGGAAACCAGGCGACATCATGGAAAGAAAGAATCAAACAGCTATAACTGAATTCATCATCTTGGGATTCTCCAACCTAAATGAATGGCAGTTTTTACTATTCACCATCTTCTTTCTGACTTATTTCTGTACTTTGGGAGGAAATATATTAATTATCTTGACGACTGTGACTGATCCACACCTGCATACACCTATGTATTATTTTCTAGGGAACTTGGCCTTTATTGACATCTGCTACACCACCAGCAATGTCCCCCAGATGATGGTGCACCTCCTCTCAAAGAAAAAAAGCATTTCTTATGTGGGGTGTGTGGTTCAACTTTTTGCATTTGTTTTCTTTGTAGGATCAGAGTGTCTCCTACTGGCAGCAATGGCATATGATCGTTACATTGCAATCTGCAATCCTTTAAGGTATTCAGTTATTCTGAGCAAGGTTCTATGCAATCAATTAGCAGCCTCATGCTGGGCTGCTGGTTTCCTTAACTCAGTGGTGCATACAGTGTTGACATTCTGCCTGCCCTTCTGTGGCAACAATCAGATTAATTACTTCTTCTGTGACATCCCCCCTTTGCTGATCTTGTCTTGTGGAAACACTTCTGTCAATGAGTTGGCACTGCTATCCACTGGGGTCTTCATTGGTTGGACTCCTTTCCTTTGTATCGTACTTTCCTACATTTGCATAATCTCCACCATCTTGAGGATCCAGTCCTCAGAGGGAAGACGAAAAGCCTTTTCTACATGTGCCTCCCACCTGGCCATTGTCTTTCTCTTTTATGGCAGCGCCATCTTTACATATGTACGGCCCATCTCAACTTACTCATTAAAGAAAGATAGGTTGGTTTCAGTGTTGTACAGTGTTGTTACCCCCATGCTAAACCCTATAATTTACACATTGAGGAATAAGGACATCAAAGAAGCTGTCAAAACTATAGGGAGCAAGTGGCAGCCACCAATTTCCTCTTTGGATAGTAAACTCACTTATTGAACCTCACAGGTTCAATAATCTTATACTACAAAATTAACTTTTTCACCAGTCAGCTGTTTTTATTGAAAGTTTAAAAGATAATTGCAATGTTGGGACAGATATTGAAGAGTTGATACACTCCAGTCTAAGTGTACTTATTCTTGAGCTTTAGTTAGTTCTATGAGAGATATCAATGTTGCTCTCTTTAGATATTATCTTCTTATTTATTTTTCCATTCCTGAATTTTGCATTCAAAGACTGTTTCCCTCTTTCATGAGATATTTGTTTAATGGACTTCATCACTTGAAAATTTCCCTGCTTTTTCATATTGCTTTCTGTATATTAAATAATGTGAAATATTTTTCTTCACATTCCTCATATGTGTGTCATATTTTTCTGTTCTTACTACTTAAGCCATGCTTTTGACCTTTCTTTCTTTAGTAGGCCCTTCTTAATAAAACATCATCACCAATAGATTAAGAAATGTAAACACAGTAAAGTGATGTTTTACCTCCAGATCTGTTGGTAGCTAATTTTAATTTTATCACCTGCTGCATGGGCCAAGGCCAATTTATCTTCACATTGGAATGAAGACAGTCATAATTTTCAATCCCATTTGACATGCATTCTTTATTCTATTCAAAAGGCAGAATTTCCTGAGGGATTTTTCTAAAACTAAGTCCCCAAAACATATTACTATTTTATAGAGTATCTTAAATTTGGGAAACTTTTTTCGCTAAAAATTTAGAAAACAGAATCAGATAAAACATACAGAAAAAACAAGGGTTTTTTGATGGGGAATAAAAAGTCTTAGTTATATAATGACTAAATTTAGAAAAAAAAGTAGAAATTACTAATGTTAAAAGTAAAAGTACTTAATTACTATTTTCTATGTGTTATTACCATGTAAAGTACAGTTATGAAGTCAAGACAAATGGGAAGGAAGACTAAGTGGTGGAAGAGAGAAATAAATACAGACACTGGAGAGAAAATTTAAAAGATAAAGAGACTTAGAGATACCAAGAAGGGAAAATAAATAACATACAATGTAAGAGCCTAAGAGATTGAAAGAGAGATAGAAAAAGGCTTATAGATCAGGTAGATACAAGTTGTCTAGTGTCTTTCTTCACTATTCTCTCAGGACCGTCTTCTTTTTCTTCCCATACCTACTGATGCCTCCCTTGATTAAGTCTTGACTTCCCAGCCCCTCTTTTGTGTAATGTTGTCATAGTGTTCTAGTGGAGTGCCTTGTCTCCATTCCTATTCTGTTTAATGTACCCTGCACATCATTTCTGAGTTAACTTTCTTAACATGGTGTTATGTACAGTCTCCTATACTGTTTTTGTTTTAATAAACTCTACTGGCTTACTGGCACACTCTTCATTTAACTAAATATATTTGTAACCACTGTCTATAAAATCTAAGTACTACCTACTTTGTAACTCATCTCCTGCAGGAACCCTAAATAATTCTTCTCCAGGTATGGCTTGATCTTTCCTGACTACATACCACTATTATGACGATTCCCTTAATTTGGAATTCACATCTCCTCCCTTATTTGTTCAAAATTCTCTTCATTCTTTATAGTTCAATTCAAAATCTACTTTCTCCTCCATCATTCCACCTAATGTTTTCTATTCCTCCTTAAATCACATGGTACTGCCTGAAATGGTGGTGGTGGTGGTAGTGAGAGTTACTTGACTAATCTATTTAAAATTACAACTTCTCACCACTCCCCCACTCAATAACTCTTGATAACTCCACTCTGTCTTTCATTTCATAGCAGTTATCTAAAGTTATTATTATCAGAATTATGTATCCTGTTCACCTCTTTATCTTTAGGGCCAAGAAGAGAATAATTCCTGGCCTATCATAGGTGGTAAATACTCCTGAATAAATATATGAACATGGGGGGCAGAAAGGAAAAACCAGTATCAGCCACTGCAAAAACACACTGAAATACAAGGATCAATGACACTATAAAGAAACTGCATCAACTCGTGTGCAAAATAACCAGCTAGCATCATGATGACAGGATCAAATTCACATATAACAATATTAACCTTAAATGTAAATGGGCTAAATGACCCAATTAAAAGACACAGACTGGCAAATTGGATAAAGAGTCAAGACCCCTCAGTGTGCTGTATTCAGGAGATCCTTGACATGTGCCAGGACACACATAGGCTCAAAATAAAGGGATGGAAAAAATTTACCAAGCAAATGGAAAGTAGAGAAAAGCAAGGATTGTAATCCTAGTTTCTGATAAAACAGACTTTAAACCAAAAAAGATAAAAAACACAAAGGAGGGGATAACATAATGGTAAAGGGGTCACTTCAACAAGGAGAGCTAACTATCCTAAATGTATATGCACCCAATACAGGAGCACCCAGATTCATGAAGCAAGCTCTTAGAGAGCTACAAAGAGACGTAGACTTCCACACAATAATACTAAGAGACTTTAACACCCCATTCTCAACATTAGACAGATCATCAAGACAGAAAACTAACAAGGATATTCAGGACTTGAACTTGGCTCTGGATCAAGTGAACCTGATAGATATCTGCAAGCCCTTCCAGCCTGAAACAACAGAATATACATTCTTCTCAGTGCCACGTGGCATTTACTCTAAAATCGATCACATAATGGGAAGTGAAGCACTCCTCAACAAATGCAAAAGAACTGAAATCATAACAAACAGTCTCTCAGACCACAGTTCAATCAAATTAGAACTCAGGATTAAGAACCTCACTCAAAACCAACAATGACATGGAAATTGAACAACCTGCTCCTGACTGACTTCTAGGTAAATAATGAAATTAAGGCAGAAACTAAACCATTCTTGAAACCAATAAGAACAAAGAGACAACATACCAGAATCTCTGGGATGCAGCTAAAGCAATGTTTAGAGGGAAATTTGTAGCACTAGAAAGAACTCAAACTGACACCCTAACATCACAACAAAAGAACTAGAGGAGCAAGGGCAAATAAATCCAAAATTTAGCAGAAAACAAGAAATAACTAAGATCGGAGAAGAACTGAAGAAGAGACAGACACAAGAAAATGCTTCAGCAAATCAATAAATCCAGAAGTTGTTTCTTTTTTGAAGACATTAATAAAATAGACTGCTAGCTAGACTAATAAAGAAGAAAAAAGAGAAGAATCAAATAGACACAATATAAATGATAAAGGGCATATCACCACTGACCCCATAAAAATACAAACTACCATCAGAGAATACTATAAATATCTCATGCAAACAAACTAGAAAATCTAGAAGAAATGAATAAATTCCTGGATGCATACACCCTCCCAAGACTACACCAGGAAGAATTCAAATCCTTGAATAGACCAATAACAAATTCTGAAATTGAAGCAGTAATAAATAGCCTAACAACCAAAAAAAGCCCAGCACCAGATGGACTCACAGTCGAATTCCACCAGAGGTACAAAAAGGAGTTGGTACCACTCCTTCTGGAACTATTTCAAACAATTCAAAAGGAGGGACTTCTCCCTAACTAATTTTATAAGCCCAGCATCATCCTGATACTAAAACCTGGCAGAGACGGAACAAAATAAGAAAACTTCTGGCCAATATCTCTGATGAACATCAATGTGAAAATCCTCAATAAAATACTGGCAAATCAAATCCAGCAGCACATCAAAAAGCTTATCTGCCACAATCAAGTCGGCTTCATCCCTGGGATGAAGGCTGGTTCAACAGACACAAATCAATAAATGCAATTCATCACATAAACAGAACCAATGACAAAAACCACATGATTATCTAAATAGATGCAGAAAAGGCCTCCGATAAATTTCAACATCCCTTCATACTAAAAACTTTCAATAAACTAGGTATTGATGGAACATATCTCAAAATAATAAGAGCTATTTATGACAAACCCACAGCCAATATCATACTGAATAGGCAAAAGCTGGAAGCATTCCCTTTGAAAACTATCACAAGACAGGGAAATCCTCTTTCACCATTCCTATTCAACATAGTATTGGATGTTCTGGCCAGGGCAATCAGGCAAGAGAAAGAAATAAAGCGTATTTGAATAAAAAGACTGGAAATCAAATTGTCTCTGTTTGCAGATGACATTGTATATTTAGAAAACCCCATCGTCTCAGCCCAAAATCTCCTTAAGCTGATAAACAACTTCAGCAAAGTCTCAGGATACAAAATCAATGTGCAAAAATCACAAGCATTTCTATACACCAACAATAGACAAACAGAGAACCAAATCATGAATGAACCTTCATTCATAATTGCTACAAAGAGAATAAAATACCTAGGAATACAGCTAACAAGGGATGTGAAAGACTTCAAGGAGAACTACAAACCACTTCTCAAGGAATTAGGAGAGGACACAAACAAATGGAAAAACATTTCATCCTTGTGGATACGAGGAACCAATATTGTGAAAATAGCCATACTGTCCAAAGTAATTTATAGATTCAGTGCTATTCCCATCAAACTACCATTGACATTCTTCAGAGAATTAAAAAAAAAAGGCTACTTTAAAACTCATATGGAACCAAGAAGGAGCCTGTATAGCCAAGACAATCCTAAGCAAAAAGAACACAGCTGGAGGCATAATGCCACCTGACTTCAAACTATAATACAAGGCTACAGTAACCAAAACAGCATGGTACTGGTACCAAAGCAGACACATAGACCAACAGATCAGAAATAAGACGGCACATCTACAACCATCTGAATTGCAACAAACCTGACAAAAACAAGCAATGGGGAAATGATTCCCTATTTAATAAATGGTGCTGGGAAAATGGGCTAGCCATATGCAGCAAACTGAAACTAGACCCCTTCCTTACACCTTATACAAAAATTAGCTCAAGATGTATTAAAGACTTAAATGTAAAACCTAAAACGATAAAAATCCTAGAAGAAAATGTAGGTAATACCATTCAGAGAATAGGCATGGGCAAAAATTTTATGATGAAATTGTCAAAAGCAATTGCAACAAAAGCAAAAATTGACAAGCAGGATCTAATTAACTAAAGAGCTTCTGCACACCAAAAGAAACTACCATCAGAGTGAACAGGCAACCTGAAGAATGGGAAAAAAATTTTGCAATCTACCCATCTGATAAAGGTCTAATATCCAGAATTTACAAGGCACTTAAACAAATTTACAATAATAAAACAAATAACCCCATCAAAAAGTGGGCAAAGGATATGAACAGACACTTCTCAGAAGATACTTACACAGCCAACAAATTATGAAGAAAAGCTCAACATCACTGATTGTTAGAGAAATACAAATTAAAACCACAATGAGCTACCATCTTATGCCAGTCAGAAGAGCAATTATCAAAAAGTCAAGAAACAATAGATGCTGGCAAGGCTGTGGAGAAATAGGAACACTTTTACACTGTTGGAGGGAATGTAAATTAGTTCAACCATTGTGGAAGACAGTGTGGCAATTCCTCAAGGATCTAGAACCAGAAATACCATTTAGCCCAGCAATCCCATTACTGGGTATATAACCAAAGGAATATAAATCATTCTATTATAAAGATACACACACATATGTTTATTGCAGCACTATTCACAATAGCAAAGACTTGGAATCAATCCAAATGCCCATCAATGATAGAATACATAAAATGTAGTACATATATATCATGGAATACTATGCAGCCATAAAAAGGAATGGGATCATGTCCTTTGCAGGGACATAGATGAAGCTGGAAGCCATCATCCTCAACAAAGTAACTGAAACAGAAAACCAAACACCGCATGTTCTCACTAATAAGTGGGAGTAGAATAAAGAGAACACATGGACACAGGGAGGGAACAACACACACCAGGGCCTGTCGGCGGGTGGAGGGTGGGAGAGCATCAGGACAAATGGCTAATGCATGCAGGGCTTAATACCTAGGTGATGGGTGGTTAGGTGCAGCAAATCACCATGGCACACGTTTACCTATGTAACAAACCTGCACGTCTGCACATGTATCCTGGAACCTAAAATAAAATAAAATTTAAAATATATATAAACATACCATAAAACTACCATGACATTGAACATCCTAGAGGGTTTGTGCATGAAAGTTTTTGCTTTCTTACTACTTTTTATGCTCCCAGTTAACACACATCTTACAGGAAGTATACGTTTTAGTATTTCTCACATCCCATAGTTTGTTTCATTCACCATAGAATATTATTCCAGAATATTATGTTCACAGAATAGATGAATAAGTAGAGATAATGAATGATATAATTTAGTTGGTTGCAAATATTATTTTAAGTCAAAATTTTCTGACACATTTGCTTATTAGATGATAAAAAATTTTTTTTGGTCAACACGTATTTCTCATCAAATATTTCCAAAGTGGGAAACATCCAAGCCTCATACTTTGACAACATGCTCTTCTGTCTCAATGTAGTCTACCTCTTTCACTTTTTTTTTGCTTTAAATATTAACCATGTACCACTGACTTTCACTTTATTTATCTGCAGCTTTTACTTCTATTCTAAATTCAACCAAATCTCACGCCATATTTTGTTTTAATTCAAACTCATAACCCTTTAATCAAAATCAGTTGCCATCTGTTTTATCAATGCCACTGCAATTCTCACATTCTGTTTATATCCCATTCGTTTTCTTTACTTTCTGATGCTCTTCCAATGATTAACTCACAGCTCTGAACAAATATAGCATTTTGTTACATCTAAGGCTGTTCAGTTTCAGTATACTAAAGAAAATAAGTAAAGAAACATTAAAAACAAAAAAAGTAAAATACACACAATAAAACCTAGAGAAGTGAATCCCAAAAGCAATATGCTAGCATACTGATAAGGGAGTGCTGGGAAGGGAAGAACGTGGTCCCTTTAAATGATACAAAAGGGGAGAAGAGAAGTGCTGGGTAGAGGAAGGTGTGTTCCCTGACTAGGGCTCCATCCCACGGACCTAGGTGAGGACAGGCACTCCTGCTTTTTCGCCCAAATGTTGCATTTCAAAAGTCCACCCTGACCCACCATGCCCCCATCCTTGGCCTATAAAAACCCGAGGCCCCAGCAGGCAGACACACAGGTGGCCAGATGTCCAGAGGAGTACATTGGCGAAAGAAGATGCAAGCGGCTGGTCCTCGAGAGGATGTCAAGAGGAGCACGCAGGCAGAAGAGCACACAGACAGGCACCAGCATACCAGCAGGCCATCAGCTGGTGGGAGGAGGTGGAGTTTGGCCGCGGCAGAGGAGAGCAAGGCCGAGTGGCCCAACTCCAGGGGAAGACCATTTCCCTTCTGGCTCCCCCATCAGTTGAGAGCTACTTCCACTCAATAAAGCTTTACACTAATTCTCCAAGCCCACGTGTGATCTAATTCTCCCGGTACACCAAGGCAAGAAACCCTGGGATACAGAAAGCCCTCTGTCCTCGGACAAGGTAGAAGGTCTAATTGGGCTAACACAAGCCACCTGTAGACAGCAAATTAAGAGCACCCTGTAACACACGCCCACTGGGGCTTCAGAAGCTGCAAACATTCACCCCTAAACACTGCCATGGGGTTGGAGCTCCACAGTCTGCCTGTCTGTAAGCTCCCCTAGTTGTTTGAGCAGTGGGGCCCTGAAAAAGCGAGCCACATCCCCATCGCATGCCCTGCGAGGGGGACAAGGGAACTTTTCCCATTTCAATACCACTAGAGAGGTTCACAGACAATTTGAGCCCTGTTTTCTCAAAACAGAAAAGGAAGGACAGTAAGAACTGTGCGAAGTGAGGATAAAGAAACAGAAAAGGGAGCCAATAGTCATTGGCATTATACACCTGAGAAAGCAGCAGCAGTTACCATACTGAGCATAGCCGGAGGAGTTCACCACAGTTAGAGAAATGAAGGCAGAAATGGTAGGTACACCTGTGGATTTGGAAGTTAAAAACTGATGAGGTTTTAAATCAAAGGAATCAAAGGTTTGTTTTTCTTTGTAATATAAGAAAATAATTTGCTTACAATCTTTTTTTACCTGTCATACACTATTATTCGTTTATTGTTATAGTTGGCAAATAAAAATTATATTTATCATGTACAACATGATGTCTTGAAATATGTATACCTTGTGAAATGGCTAATCAACGTATGCAATACCTCACATACTTTTTTGTGGTGAGAAAACTCATCTATTCTTTTGGCAATTTTCAAGAATACAAAACGTTATTAACTACAGTCACCATGTTGTACAATAGATCTCTTGAACTTATTTCTCCTATATAACTGAAATATTGTATCCATTTACCAACATCTCCCCACCACATCCCCTCCCAGCCCCTAGTAACCACAATTCTACTCTCTATTTCTATGATTTCAACTTTTAAAAATTCTGCATAATGTGAGATCATGTAGCATTTGTCTTTCTGTTCCTAGCTTACTTCACTTAAAATAACGTTCTCCAGGTTCATCCATGTTGTCACAAATGACAGAATTTGCTTCTTTTTTAAGACTGAATAGTATTCTATTGTGTACATATGCCATATTTTATTTATCCATTCATCCGCTGATGAACACTTAGGTTGATTCCATGTCTTGGCTATTATGAATGGTGCTGCAATAAACATTGGAGTGCACATATTTCTTTGATATGCTGATTTCATTTCCTTGGATATATACCAAGTAATGGGATTCCTTGATCATATGGTGGTTTTATTTTTAATTTTTTAAAGAACTTTCATACTATTTTCTATAATGGCTATACTTACTCACATTCGCATCAACAGTGCGGAAGAGTTCCTTTTTCTTGACATCCTTATCAGCATGTGTTACCTTTTGTCTTTTTAATATTAATTATTCTAACAGATATAAGGTTATATCTCATTGTGGTTTTCATTTGCCTTTCTCTGCTGACTATTAATTTAGTATTTTTTCATATACCTGTTGGCCATTTGCATGTCTTCTTCTGAGAAATGTCTCTTCAGGTCATTTGATCGTAACCAGGTTATTTGTTTTCTTTAATTGGGTTATTTGTAATATATATTTTGAATAGTAACCTCTTAACAGATGTGTGCTTGGCCGATTACAAAGGTTGTCTCTTCACTCAGTTGATTGTTCGCTTGGCTGTGCTGAAGCATTTTTGTTTGATGTAGTCAAAATTGTCTCTTTTTGGCTTTATTGCCAGTACTTTCAAGGTCATATCCAAAAAGTCTTTCCCAGATCAATGTCATGGAACTTTTTCCCCAATATTTTCTTCTAGTATTTTTACAATTTCAAATTACACATTTAATCCAAATGTCTTTAATCCATTTTCAGTTTTTTAAAAAAATATTGTGTGAGATTAGGGTCCAATTTCATTCTACTGGCATGCAAATATCCAATTGTTCCAACATTAGTTGTTGAAGGAACTGTCTTTTCTCCATTGTGTGCTATTGGCACTTTTGTCAAAAATCAATGGACTGTAAATGCATACATTTATTTCTGAGTTCTTTATTTTTTTCCATTGGTCTTTCTGTCTGTTTTTATGCCAGTACCATGCTGTCTTAATCGCTTTAGCTTTGGAGTGTATTTTCAAATCAGGTAGTATAATACCTGCAGCTTTGTTCATTTTTTGCAAGATTGCTTTGGCTACTTGGGTTATTTTTTTAGTTCCATAGAATTATAGGATTTTTTCCCATTTCTGTGAAACATGTCATCGATATTTTGATGAGATTATGCTGACTCTGTAGATTACTTTGAATAGCATGAACGTTTTAACAATATTATTTCTTCCAATTTGCAGGATATATCCATAGGATGTTTTTCCAATTATTTGTGTCTTTTTCAATTACTTTAATCAATGCTTTATAGTTTTTTTGTGTACAAATCTTTAACCTCCTTGGTTATGTTAATTCTTAAGTATGTTATTTTTCTTTTTTTTGTAGCTATTGTAAGTGGGGTTGTTTTCTTGATTTCTTTTTTAGATTGTTGTTAGTGTATGGAAATAATTTTTATATGTTGATTTGTATCCTGCAACCTTATTGAATTCATTTATTATTTCTAACAGTTTTTTGATAAATTCTTTATAGCTTTTATGTACAATAATATACCACATGCAATCAGGGACAATTTTAACTTTCTCAGGGGAAGAGACAGAATGAGTTACTTATACCACCGTAATGGGAAAAAGAATGTGCATTTTGAAATTTGATTAACCTTAAGTGAAACAAAATAGTCAGTGTTTATTTCTTCCAGTTACAGTTTTCCATCCCATTTTTAACACTTCCAGTATTGGAAGAGCTTGAATTGTAAATGGATGTGGAAATAGCTATAAGGTGATGGAAGAACCACCATTCTCATAATCAGAAGATGTGCATTTGAAGTTGAACACTACTGATAAATACCAGTGCAATCTTAGTCAAGATAGTTATGGTTTCTTTAATCTGAATTTTCTCTTCTATAAAATAAAAATAATTTTTAAAAACAAAAATACAAAAGTATTTTTTGAAATAACTATAGAAAATAATACATCGTTACTAGGGTGGCTGAATGATGAGCACTAACAT
Organism: Homo sapiens; assembly: GCF_000001405.40. Taxonomy (NCBI): domain Eukaryota; kingdom Metazoa; phylum Chordata; class Mammalia; order Primates; family Hominidae; genus Homo; species Homo sapiens. Next base: position 610,579 of record NT_167247.2, on the reverse strand, counting down.
CTCTTCCACGCTTATATGTGATGTTATTTAATGTAGTTAATATATATTAACCGATTTAACATGCCACATGTGAGAGATACTATTACCATCTTTTTTACAACTGAGCCACCAAATTAACTAGCTTTCTTTAAGTCACATACCTAACAATTGGTGGTTCATTGTTCAAACTCACACCATCTGATTCTAAAAGATGTATTGTTAACTGGTGTATATGCCATACTGAAAATTAGCTACAAGGTTTATTGCTTTCACAGAACATTTAAAAAGAATGCAGGATTGATTTGTTTATTGGGAGTATTTTATTAGATTATTCTAACCCACTTAGACATAAAACAAAGAAGAATTTGAAATTTTGGAGTTTGAATTCTGTCTCCCAATATAGAGAGTAGGTAACTAGAATAACTTTGGAGGCCTCTACAGTATTTATTTTCTTCTAAGACTACAGGTTATAGCAATTGCTAATTTCTATTAAAGATGTGTGTTCACTGAGGGCTGTACTGGCAAAGAGTCCACACAGTTTACACAGAGCTAACAGCAGCTTCTTAACACCATCATTTTTCAGTTTTCATACAATTAAAAATGGTCTCTTGGAAACTGGCTCTTATCAAGAAAGTTTTTGTTCCACTAGTAGGTCACTTGGGGGCTCATTAGAAAGCTTACAGATAATTGTATTGTTAAGATGTTATAAATGTTTTCGCAAAGTCAATAAGTACATAATTGCTTAGGTGCCTCAAAACTGTTTTCTTTGAAGAGTAAGATGCTCCATCAGGGCATATGTATTAAATACTTCCAAAGTGTCTCCAGAGGTGCCAGCTTTGTTAGGTAGTCCCTGGCGCCTTTCTCTCAGGTGTGCCTCATGGTTTTAACAATTACTTCTGCAAGAGGCCTCTTGGGGTAAGCCACTTAACAAACAGCACTGAGATAAACTTTCTTCAAAGTCTATCCTTCAAAGTTGGCCTCCTTAGGGAAAGAGATGGGTGACTTCATGCAAAGCACCACACTCAACTGTAAAGGAGAAAGGGTCATTACTATTAAAAAAAGAAGACATTTCAGAAAGCCTCAAGGGTGTTTACCTTTTCTCTGAAAGCCCCTTACCCCAGAATGAATGAGAACTGGGTTCTTGTTAATACAAATGTATATACATAGAGAGAGGGCAGAGAGAGAGGCAAGGGAGAGAGTTGGTATTAGCAAAGTTCCAGTTCTCATTCACCCTGGGGACTATGTATGTACAGTATATATTCACATAGCCACCCATTCACTTATTCTCTTGTTTTATTTAATTCACTATTCTGATATACTGGATCATCATTACAGTAGTCTACCATATTGAAAGTTCTATTTAAATTACAAATTAAAATACTAATCCAAGTAACATACAACTGTAAAGAATGTGCCTCATCTTGTAAAACGGAAGCTTTTTTCCACTTGATATTTATGTTGTAGCATTTAAAATTAATTTTGTTCAGTTTTATAATATGAGATCATGCTTTTCTACTATTTATTGCTATTTGTGAATTATAGTATAAATTTGTCATCTATGAATTCAATTTACTGTTGTATACATAGCCTTATGTTTGATTTTTGTTACTATATCTTTCATAGATTCTTTTCATGTAGTTTTGAAAAGCTAGATGCATATTATAAACTTATGTATACTTGTATATATACTTATAAAGCTATGTACAAATTAGTAACATATATATGTAATAAAATTGTGTATTGGAATATTTCATTAGGTTATTTCAGCCACAAAACATGTATCATCATGCTTAAGAACCTATAGGAAGTGAGATTCTGTGTTAGGGAAGAATTACTTTAGACAAGAACAGGACACTTATAATAGTTCTTTGAGAAATCATATTCTTCCTCTACAGCTGTCTTTCCATTCAAAACTTATATTTAAAATTTCCTGCTCTAGGAGTTCATCTAGGATTGCATTTGGTACTAATATTGTTAGGCTTTGTGTCCCCACTCAAATCCACATTGAATTGTAATCCCCAGGTGTTGTGGAAGAGACCTGGTGGGAAGTGATTGGATTATGGGGGTGGTTTCCCCATTCTGTTCTCATGACAGTGAGTGGATTCTCACAAGATCTGATGTTTTTATGACTGGTAGTTTTTTCTACACTTGCACAAGCTCTCTTGCCTGCCACCCTGTAAGACGTGTCTTTGCTTCTCCCTCACCTTCTGCCACGATTGTAAGTTTCCTGAGGCCTCTCCAGCAATGCAGAACCATGCGTTCATTAGACCTCTTTTCTTTATAAATTATCCAGCCTGGGGTATTTTTCTTCATAGCAGTGTGAGAATGGACTAATACAGGTACAGTCAAATTAGTGACTGTTATTCCCTCTATCCAAGTCCTCTGCTTTTTCTGTATCAAGAAACTAGTATCAGTTTTTATTTGGAGGAAATGAATTGATGTGGTAAATAAATGTTTGCCACATCAATATGAGAAAAATATTCCATCGTATAGCTTTCATATGTTTTATTTTCTAAAATGCATGAAAGTATCATCTGCTCAATGATACTAGACTGCATACATAACTAAGTAAAATATTATATGGGGCAGAGGTACATTATGCAAGGATATTCTCATGTTACTAGTTGGGCAGAGGATGTATACTTTTATCTTGTTGAAAATTGCAGATAATGTCATTTAATTCAAATGAAAATTATATGCTTTTTAAATTTTAATCTGGTTTGGTTTTGAAATGATATATCAAAATTTTAATATCTAATTTACCAGTTGTTTTCCATTACCAATCTCCTGGTGTGTACTTCATGACATAAACAAATATATTACTATTCTACAGCAAAAAAAAAAAAAAAAAAACAACTCCATGAAATAAGTCTCATTGATTTTTATTTATGTATTTGTGTTTTTATATACGTACACAAAAGTGATATGACCGAGAGTTAAGTCCTGCTTCAAGGTAATTGGAAACCTTGATAGCTACTCAGACTCACATGCTAGAACCATTCTCATGATCATCCTATTCAAGCCTCACTCAAATCTAACTGTTAATTGAAATCAAACGACAATAGATAGCTGGTAAAAAGGTGGGGTTATGAGTACAGTGAGCATGATTGTGGACCTATGTATCCTGCCTATTTTCAAACAAATAGAGTGAGAGGTATTCCAATTTTTTAGTTTGAAAATGCAAAATCATCCTTTAAAAATAAAAAGTTTATTCCATTTGCAACAACATGGATGAACCTGGAGAGCACTATGCTCAGTGAAATAAGCCTCTCAGAAAGACTAATACTCCATGAGTCCACTTATGTGAGGACCTGTAACATTTAGCCTCTAGAAGTAGAGAATGAAAGTTATTGCCAAGGGTAGGGGATGGGGGAAATGGAGATAGGGAAATTGTTTTCCAATGAGTATACAGTTTCAGTTATGCTAGATGAATAAGAGCTCTACTGTGCAACATAGTGGCTATAGGTATTGTGCACTTCAAAATTTGCTAAGAGGGTAAATCTCATGTTGTGTTCTTATAAAAAAAAAAACAAAAAAAAAAAGCAAAGGGATGCAACGGAACTTTGGAAGGTGATAGATACGTCTATTACCTTGATTGTGGTAATGGTATCATGGATATTTGTATATGTCAAAGCTCATCAACTTGTACATATTAAGTATGTGCAATTCTTTGTATATTATACTCCCAATAAAGCTGTTTTTTTAAAAAAAGAAAAAATAATCAAACTTAATTTGGGGTAAGACATTTGTATTAGTCCGTTTTCACATTGCTATAAAGAATACTACCTGAGAGTGGGTAATTATAAAAGAAAGAGGCTTAATTGACTCACAGTTCTGCATGGCTGGGGATGCCTCAGGAAACTTACAATTATAGCAGAAAGTGAAGGGGAAACAAGAACCTTCTTCACATGGTGGCAGGAGAGAGAAGAGTGAAGGAGGAACTTCCAAACACTAATAAAGCCATCAGAGCTCTTGAGAACTCACTCACTATCATGAGAACAGCATGGGGGAAACCACCCCCATGATCCAATCACCTCCGTCCCTCGACACTTGGGGATTACAATTCGAGTTGTAAGATGTGGGTGGGGAAACAGAACCAAACCATATCAACATTCAAAATGCCAGTTCACGTAGCTGTAATATTTCTCTTTTGTCCTTTTCAAAGGTCATCTTTTTTAGGAAACTATAGATTAACTTTTATTTTGGAATAATTATATTAATATGGCAATACAAGTTCTAGTGACTTGTGTTTGATTTATTCTTATGATTTATATATTCTTTGTAAGCACTCTACAATATTTCTTATGTGAGAATTACCTTTATCACATGTCAAACACATCTGAGGGAAAAATAAATTCCATTTTGTTTTTATTATCTGCAGGAAGCACCTAATGCAAACATGTTCTTTTTTTTCCATTTTACAAAATGATTTACAAAAAAGTTGTTTTAAATAATGTTATTGTTGTGTGTGGCAACCGTGATTTGGAGTATAAGTAATTTATACACTGTTACCCAAAAGACTGTTTTGTAAAGCAAAGTGAAACTGTATGTTTCTCTTACTTACAAAAATAATTATGAAATTTTTTATGTCATGCAAGTCACTCTCTCTCATGAGTAAATAGTTGTTATTTAAATAACAATTAACCCACAAGGTTAGCACATCTTTGAAAATAAATTATTTCTTCTCTAGGACCAAAAGGTACATAAGTGCATGGTGAAGAAGTGTTTTCATTTGCAAAAGTTCTATCGCTAGAAAAATAAATTCAAGCAACATATTGTTAATTTCTTTTCTTTAACTTAGGTCATCCCACCTTTTCCTATCCCATGCTGTCATTCTTTTTTTTTTTTTTTTTGAGACGGAGTCTCGCTCTGTCGCCCAGGCTGGAGTGCAGTGGCACCATCTCGGCTCACTGCAAGCTCCGCCTCCCGGGTTCACACCATTCTCCTGCCTCAGCCTCCCAGGTAGCTGGGACTACAGGCGCCCGCCATTACGCCCGGCTAATTTTTTGTATTTTTAGTAGAGACGGGGTTTCACCGTTTTAGCCGGGATGGTCTCGATCTCCTGACCTCGTGATCCGCCCGCCTCGGCCTCCCAAAGTGCTGGGATTACAGGCGTGAGCCACTGCGCCCGGCCCATGCTGTCATTCTTACATTTTGGAATGTTTCTTTTTGAATTCTTTGCTCACTAATAAAATTCCTTAGAACCCTAGCACTACTATGAAAAAGCTCTCCAATACCACTACCTACTCCTGATATTTCTGTGTTGTCATTGACATTTGGTTCTTCTCCCAAAAGCTATTTCTCTTATTCTTCAATTCAAAGCTGCTCCTTCTCTCACAGTTTGAGGAGGTGGGTAGGATCAAGGTCTGTATTCTCTAAGTTTCTTATTTTTTTTCTGACTGTTACTTCTTCTCTTTCATATAAAATATCTTGCACTTTGAGGTCATTTTCTTACCACAAAAATTCTCTACATCTTCTTATTTTGCTCATATGCTTATTTTCCAGGCATGTTCCTAACTGCATATTGGGTGCCCATACCAGTTTCTTCTCTCCAGTATCAAATATGGCCATCACCCAGGCATCTATGTTGATGATGCAACCTTCCCACTGACCATCATGCTGCCACAATCAATATTAGGTAGATTATCTTGCCTCCCCACACTAACCTCAGACCTCCTTGACCTCCACTCCTTTTTTATTCTTTTTAAAATTATTGTTGATCATCAACCTAATACAAGACATTGTGGCATAATCCAGATATCAAAAATTCAATTGTGTATCAGGTCAAGTCTCAATTCCCCACCTTCAAATCATTCACCTTATAAAGAGAGAAACACATACACCAGATAATTAGAATACAATGTAGTAAGTGCAACAGTTAATATGAAAGTTACAAAGGTAGTGCAGATGTTATGATCACATCATGAAGATTACCTACATGTCTACTCTAAGACTATATCCCACCTTCATAGTCTTTTGTTTGGTATTGGAGTATGCTCTTTGCCATTCTCCCATTACTTCTCTCATTCCAATTTATTTTATAAATGTATAATTTATAGACAGTTAACATTCTCTTTTTTAGCATATAATTACTTGACTTTTTGCAAACACATATAATCATGCAACTATAGACACAGGCAAGATATAAAACAATTCTGTCACCTCCCAAATCCTCCCATTCCTTTTTATAAACAACACATCACTGACTCCAGCTTCTGGTAACCATAAATTTGTTTCCATCTTTATAGTTTTTTTCTTTTCCCTAATGTAATAATACAAGTAAAATCATATGATATGTGTCTTTTTTCTCTACATCTTTTTCATTTCTTTGGCTTCAAAGATACTTTCAGTTTCTTAACTGCCCACTTTCCGTAAGTCTTTCAGTTCCTTGTAACTGTACTTATGTCCCTATAGAGCCAGACCTCTATGTCTGTAAAGGGCTAGAACAGTAAGCCAGAGGAAAAAAATTTGCAATTTATTTCTGGGACTTCCAACTTCATAACACATTTATCCTCTAGCCACATCTCCAGGGAATACTCCAAAACAGCATCCAGTATTTTCTATACATACGGTTCAGAAAATCTGGAGAAAACTCCACACTCACACACTCTGATGTTGTTTAAAATTAATAGCAATCTTACTTTTCTCTTACTTTATTTGTTATGGTTACTGCCATCTCCTATTTCCTTCAGGAACTGTTTTAAACATTCATCTTTCCTTCATTAATTTACCCACACTCCCTTCATGCTTGGCAGACAGTCTCACCTTCTGTTCCACAGAAGAAACATAAAGCATTAGATAAGTTCATCTAATGCCATTCTCTGTATTTCCAACCACTCTTCTATCTTACTTCAGTCTATAATCAAGTTCAAATATTTAAAGTATTGTTAAAAATTAGGTCCACTCATGAAACTGTTGCTAAATGCAAGGAAGTTATTATTGCCCCTGACCAGAAAAGTTCTGGTACAGAGATACAGGTGGAAGCCTGATTTCAATAGGCAGAGTGAATGGGTAGCTTTTCCCACTCCTTATTTTTCATTTCTTTACATCTAATATAGAATGAATGATCAACAACTTCTCTTTAACCAACAACTTATCCTTACTTCCATGTTGGCTGTAATATCCCTAAACTTGGAAGTTAAAAATTATATGAACACATTTATCTGTCTTTGCGTTGGAGTAGTTTTCTTAAGTCACAGTGCACCTAGTTCAGGGTTTCTCAACAGAAGAACAATTGACATTTTGGGCTGCATAATTCTTCATGTGTGGGGCTTTTTAAATATGGTGAAACAAAGCCACAGAAAGGCTAAAGAACTTTCCCTAGCTTCTGGAAACCTTTAGTCACATTTAGTAAGAGGTGGCATGGTGATTTGAAGAGATGATTTTTATGTGTACAGTAAATTTATAAGCAGTTGGTTCCACTATTCCACCTGATTCTCCTATTTTACTGTAGTTTGAATACTTCCATTGAAAAATGTATTTTAAATGTCTGGCCAGAATGAGTCTCGGAGATGGCTCGTGATTGATAGGGCCATGACAGAGATTAGGATCAGAGTGCAGTCTGAGGTTGTATTCCATAGAAGCACAGTCTCTCCTCTCCACCAACCAACTTCACATGCCAGTTATGTAACTCATAACAGCTTAGTGACATGGTCCATACTCTTTTTCAAAATATAAGCAAATTAATATTAGTAAAGTAGTTGCTAAGAGACTCCCATTTGGCCTATGTGTCTGTTTTTGTACCACTATCATGTTGTTTTGGTTAATGTAGCCTTGTAATATAGTTTGAAGTTGGGTAGTATGATGCCTCCAGTATTTTTCTTTTTGCTTAGTATTGCTTTTGCTATTTGGGCTCTTTCTTGATTTCAAATGAAGTTTAGAATATTTTTTCTAATTCTGTGAAAAACAATATTGGTAGTTTGATAGGAATAGCATTGAACGTGTAGATTGCTTTGGAGAGTATGGTCATTTTAACAATATAAATTCTTCCAATCCATGAGCATGGGTTTTTTTCCCCATTTATTTGTATCCTCTATGATTTCTTTCTTCAGTATTTTGTAGTTTTCCTCAAAGAAATCATTCACTGCTTTGGTTACGTGGATTCCAACATACTTTATTCTTTTTGTGGCTATTGTGAATCGGATTGTATTATTGATTTGGCATTCAGCTTCAATGTTATTGGTATATAGAAATACTACTGATTTGTACATTGATTTTGTATCCTGAAACTTTACTGAAGTTTTTATCAGCTCTACAAGCCTTTTGGCAAAGTCATTAAGGTTTTCTAGGTATAGAATCGTATTGTCAGCAAGGAGATAATTTGACTTCCTCTTTTCCTATTTTGTTGCTTTTTATTTCTTTCTCTTGCCTGATTGTTCTGACTAGGATTTCCAGCACTATGTTGAATAGGAATGGTGAGAGTTGGCATCCTTGGCCTGTTCCAGTTCTTAAGTGTAACACTTCCAGCTTTTGCCAATTCAGTATAATGTTGGCTGTGGGTTTGTCATAGTGGGCTCTTATTATCTTGAGGTATGTTTCTTCCATGCCTAGTATGTTGAGGATTTTTTTCATGAAGGGATGTTGGATTTTATCAAAACATTTTTTCTGCATTCATTGAGATGATTAAATGGTTTTGTTTTTAATTGTTTATGCAGCAAGTCATGTTTATTGATTTGCATATGTTGAACCAACCTTGCGTACTGGTAGTGAAGCCTGCATGATAGTGGTGAATTAGCTTTTTGATGTGCTGCTGGATTCCATCTGCTAGTATTTTATTGAGAAATTTTGCATCTATGTTCATCAGGGATATTTGTCTGTAATTTTCTCTTTTGTTGTTGTGTCTTTACTAGATTTTGGTATCAGAGTGATGCTGGCTTCGTAGAATGAGTTAGGGAGGAGTCCTCTTCCCCATTTTTAAAAAATATTTCAGTAGGATTGGTACCAGCTTTTCTTTGTACATCTGGTAGAATTTGGCTATGAATCCACCTGTTTCAGGGCCCTTTTTATTTGGTAGGTTTGTTTTTCAATTTCAGAACTCTATATTGATCTCTCCAGGGTTTTGATTTCTTCCTGGCTCAATCTTGGGGTGTTGTGACCTTCCAGGAATTTATTCATTTCCTCTAGAGTTTCTAGTTTGTGTGCATAGTGGTGTTCATAATAGTCTCTGAGGATTTTTTATATATCCGTGGGATTGGTTGTTATTTCACTTTTGCCATTTCTGATTGCACTTATTTAGATCTTCTCTTTCTTTGTTGTTAATTTAGCTGGTGTCCTATTGATCTGGTTGACAAGAACCAGCTTTCGGTTATTACTTTGCATGTATTTTTGAGTCTCAATTTCATTCAGTTCTCTAATGAATTTTGGTTATTTATTGTCTTCTAGCTTTGGGACTAGTTCTTGTTTTTCTAGTTCTCTAGGTGTGATGTTAGATTGTTAATTTGAGATCTTTCTAATTTTTTGATGTAGGTATTTAGTGATGTAAGCTTTCCTAACACTGCTTTAGCTGTATTCCAGAGATTTTAAAATATTGTGTCTCCATGCACACGTATGTTTATAGCAGCACTACTCACAATAGCAAAGACTTGGAACCAACCCAAATGTCCATCAGTGATAGACTGGATTAAGAAAATGTGGCATTTATATACAAAGGAATACTATGCAGCCATAAAAAATGATGAGTTCATGTCCTTTGTAGGGACATGGATGAAGCTGGAAACCATCATTCTCAGCAAACTATTGCAAGGACAAAAAAACCAAACACCACATGTTCTCACTCATAGGTGGGAATTGAACAATGAGAACACTTGGACACAGCAAGGGGAACATCACACACCGGGGCCTGTCGTGGGGTGGGCGGAGGAGGCAGGGATAGCATTAGGAGATATACCTAATGTAAATGACGAGTTAATGGGTGCAGCACACCAACATGGCACATGTATACATATGTAGCAAACTTGCACGTTGTGCACATGTACCCTAGAACTTAAAGTATAATAAAATATGTATATAAAAAAGTAAAAATAAAAAATAAAATATTGTATCTCTGTTTTTATTTATTTTAAATAATTTTCTAAATTTTTGCCTTAATTTTATTGTTTACCCAAAAGTTACTCAGAATAAAGTTATTTAATTTCCATGTAATTTTGTGGTTTTGAGAGAACTTACCGGTATTGATTTGTATTTTTATTCCACCATGGCCCAAAGTATAGTTTGTATGATTTTGAATTTTTTAACTTTATTGAGACTTGCCTGATGTCCAAGCATGTGGTCAATCTTAGCATATGTTCCATATGCAAATGAGAAGAATGTATATCCTATGGTTGCTGGGTGGAGTGTTCTGTAGATGTCTATTATGTCCAATTGGTCAAATGTCGAATTTAACTCCAGGATTTCTTTGTTAGTTTTCTGCCTTGATGATCTAACTCTGTCAATGGGATGTTGAAGTCACCCACTCCCATGGTGTGGCTAAGTATTTTTGTAGGTCTAGCAGTACTTGTTTTATGAATCTAGGTGCTCCAATTTTAGTTGCATATATATTCAGGATAGTTAAGCCATGTGGTTGGATCAAACCCTTTATCATTGCATAGAGCCCTTCTTTATCCTTTTTTGACTACTGTTGTTTTAAAGTCTATTTTATCTGAAATAATAATTGTAACCCCTGCTCTTTTTTGTCTTCTGTTTGGGTGATAGATCTTTCTCCTACCCTTTACCTTGAGTCTATCAGTGTCATCACGTGTAAGATGGGTCTCTTGAAGACAGCAGATGGGTGAGTCTTGTTTTTTATCCAACTTGCCACTCTGTGCCTTTGAAGTAGGGTGTTAAGACCATTCACATTCAAGGTTAATATTAATATGTGAGATTTTGATCATATCGTAAAGTTGTTAGCTGGTTGCTTTGTAGTTTCTATTGTGTGGTTGCCATATAGGGTCTGTGGACTATGTAGTTAAGTGTGTTTTTGTAGTAGCAGTTATTATTCTTTCCATGTTTAGAAATCCATTATGGATCTCTTGTAAGGCTGGTTTAGTGGTAATGACTTCCCTTAGCTATTGCTTATCTGAAAAATATTTTAGTTCTTGTTAACTTATGAAGCTTGGTTTGGTGTTGTATGAAATTCTTGGTTGGAGTCTCTTCCTTAAAAAATGCTGAATGTAAGTCCCCCATAAGATTTCTGCTGAGAAGGCCCCCAATAAGTTTATAATGTTTCCTCTGTTTGCTGTTAGCCTGATGGGATTCCCTTTGTATGGGATCTAACCTTTTTTTCTAGCTGCCTTTAAAGTTTTTTCTTTAGCATTGACCTTGGGCATTCTGGTCACTATATACCTTGGTGATGTTCATTTTATATAGGATCTGGCAGGTCTTCTCTGGATTTATTATATCTGTATGTCTACTTCCCTAGCAAGATAAAGGAAAATTTCTCAAATTATTCCCTCAAATATGTTTTCCATGTTTTTTACTTTTTCTTTTTCTCTCTCATTAATGCCAGTCATTCACAGGTTTTGCCATTTTACACAACCCATGTGTCTTGGAGACTTTGTGCCAAGAATTTTAAGAATTTTTAAATTTCTTTTTTCTTTGTTTTTGTCTGACTGGGTAAGTTTGAAAGACCAATCTTCAAACTCTGAAATTCTTTCTTCTGTTTGGTCTAGTCTATTGGGAAAGCATTCAATTGTATTTTGAAATTCCTTAAGTGAGTTTTATAGTTTTCATTGCTCTGAATGATTTCTTTTTAAGATGTTTGCATCTTCTTTTATTTCCTGGATTGCTTTACAGGTTTCTTTGTACTGATTTTTAACCTTATTTTGGATCTCATTGAGTTTCCCTGTAATCCATACTTTGAATTCCTCCTCTGTCATCCTCCTGCCTCCATTTTGGTTAAGAACCATTGCTGGAAACCTAGAGTCAGCCTTTGATGATGTCATTCCATTCAGATTTTTAATGGTGGCAGAATTCTTGTGCTGGTTCCTTCTCATCTGGAGAGTGTTGTACTAGGTAGGGTCTTTGGGGTTGTTTCTATAGTCCTATGCACTTCTGTCAGCAGGTTTTGTGTTGGGCTGTGTGGTTTGACCTATGACTCAGGATATGGCATTTGCAGGTAAGAGTCAGCTGCCACACAAGTAGGTGGGAGGGGAGCTGACCTTTATTTACTGTGAGGTGCTCTCTGTTGTTTCAGGTGAAGGACTGGACAGTGGGGTGGGTGTCCAGTGTTCTGAGCTTCCTAATTTGTGAGGGTGGTGGGATATACCTGGGCAGAGCTGGAAACGTGGCTTTCCCACGAATATCTCAATGACAGGTGCAGGCACCAGCCCTGATGGGTGTGGCTAGGAGAAGCTCCTGATAAAATGTGCTGAGGTCTTCGTGAGCCCCCTCACTTCCTTGGTGAATCTTGACATGCTCTCTTAGAGAATTCACCTGAAGAGCTACTATTTACTTGCCACTTTCTTTCCTCTCTTTGAGAGTAGCATACTCTAGCTGCTTCCAGTCAGCCATCTTGAACCTCCATAACCATTTTGAAGATGCAAATTGTGGTAGCAGCTGCAGTCAAGAGATATTAAAAATAAGTTATGGCCGGGTGCGGTGGCTCACGCCTGTAATCCCAGCATGTTGGGAGGCTGAGGCAGACAGATCACAAGGTCAGGAGATAGAGACCATCCTGGCCAACATGGTGAAACACATCTCTACTAAAAATTCAAAAATTAGCTGGGTGTGGTGGTGCGCGGTCCTGTAGTCCCAGCTACTCAGGAGGCTGAGGCAGGAGAATCACTTGAACCCGGGAGGCAGAGGCTGCAGTGAGCTGAGATTGCACCACTGCACTCTAGGCTGGTGACAGAGTGAGACTCCATCTCAACAAAAAAAAGGGATTCATTTATTCATTATCTTTTCTTTAGAATTAAGTTTAAGTTTTAAATACAGTATAAGAAATAGCTTTGGAAATAACTAAGGGTTCTACCCTAATTAAAATACATATAATTTAACTGGGTATGATGGCACATGCCAGCAGTCCTAGCTCCTCAGTATGCTGAGGTGGGAGGATGAGCCCAGGAGCCTGAGGCTGTAGTGAACCATGATCACACCTGTGAATCACCACGGCACTCCAGCCTGGGCAACATAGCAAGACTGTCTTTAAACAAACAAAACAAAATACACATCAGTATATGAGTGTTGACGAGTCACTTGGTAATGAGTCTCATATTTCTGCATTTTTCTTTTTCATCTGTGAGTTCTAGAAAGAAGTAGGAAAAACCACTATATCAAACAGCCTCTTTGGACTTTATTCTAAACCACGTAAAATCTCACCAGATTTCTTTGTGTGTCTCAGTAATTGATCTTAGAAATTATATCTGGAGGTGCAGGTTGAGGTATCCAAAGAGGAAAGAGTGGCAATATTTTGGGAGTTTCCAGTCAACAATAAAGGACCAAGAGTGTCCAGCACAGGAGTGGCCTCAGTGATTGAAGTAAGTGAATTCAGCTATAATTGAAGCTGGTAAGAGGGCCTTTTAAAAATTAAAAGTTGATACAGTACAAGAAAGTAAGTTACTGCTGCTTACCATTCAGAGACTTACGGGTGCTTGCCTGCATTATAATAAAAGAACTTAATTATTGAGCAAGACCTATATTTATCTCTTCACTTTGGACAGCCTAATAAACTATTATTACAGTTTCTCTATTGACTTTCAAACGTTTTGAAGTTTGAAAGACACCTTTGCAATTAACACAGCATGAGCACAACCAGAACAGAGAACGCTGTTATAATGGGTCTGTCCAGTCAAAATGGTCAGCTGAGGGGTCCCCTGAAACCCAGTGGTGGCCCTAGAGGAGAGGCCACACAGACACAGCAACAGACGAACCAGCTGAAAAACACCAACACAATAATAGCACTCAACCACAAGCGCAGAGTATGACCACCACTATTAAGCCTGGTGATAATTGGAAGAAGACTTTAAAACTCCTTCCAAAGGATCTAAGAATCAAAATGTTGGATGTGACCTCTACAAGAGGATATTAATTTGAAGATTACTGTTTGAAACGGCAGTTACTGATGAGAATTTTTGAAATGGGATGGAAAAAGCCATCTCCTTTCCAAGAAGAGAGCATTCCCATTGCTTTATCTGGTAGGGATATCTTAGCTAGAGCAAAAAATGGAACAGGCAAGAGCAGTGCCCATGACATTCCCCTACTTAAAAGGCTAGACCTGAAGAAGGACACTATACAAACAATAGTGATTGTTCCCACAGGAGGACCTGCTCTACAGGTCAGTCAAATTTGCATCCAGGTCAGCAAACACATGGGAGGAGTCAAAGTGGTGATGACCACAGGAGGAACCAATTCAGGAGATGACGTACTGAGGCTGGATGATACAGTGCACATGGTGATTGCTGCCCCTGGGAGAATCCTGAATCTTATTAAGAAAGGAGTAGCAAAGGTCAGTCATGTCCAGGTGATAGTATTGGATGAGGCAGATAAGTTTCTGTCCCAGGATTTTGGGCAGTTAATGGAAGATATTATTCTCATGCTACCTGAAGACAGGCAGATTTTACTACATTCTGCTACTTTCCCTCTTAGTATACAGAAGTTCATGAATTCCCATTTGCAGAAACCCTGAGACTAACCTGATGGAAAAACTAACTCTGAAGGACATAACCCAGTACTACGCATATGTAACTGAGCACCAAAAAGTACACGGCCTCACCACACTTTTCTCCAGGCTTCAGCTAAACCAGATGATCATTTTCTTTAACTGCTCTCAGCGAGTTGAATGGCCAGCCAAAATTTCTCAACTGGGTTATTTTTGTTTCTACATTCATGCTAAAATGAGGCAGGAACATCAAAATTGTGTATTTTATTATTTCTGAAATGGCTTATTCTCATTTGCACTGATCTGTTTACTTGAGGTATTGATATACAAGCTGTGAATGTGGTAATAAACTTTGACTTTTCAAAGCTAGAAGAGACCTATCTCCGTCATATTGGAAGACCAGGTCACTTTGGCCATTTTGGCTTAGCCATCAACTTGATCACATATGGCGATCACTTCAACCTGAAAGGTATTGAGGAGCAGCTGGGAAAAGAAATAAAACCTATTCCAAGCAACATTGACAAGAGCCTGCATGTGGCAGAATTCCACAGCAAGGCTGTAGAAAATGAGAAGCCTTAATAAGCACTCTTTGACAAACTGTGGAAGCCTTGTTTGGATCTATGACATACCATTTTTTAGAGAGGAGTGCTCTTCTCTTTGTGAGTTTTTCATCTTTTATTTCAGAACTATGAAGACTTAAAAGAGTTCAGAATTTTTTTTTTCCTTTTTTAACTGGTGAAGAGAAAAAAGCTGAAAAGAAGGAATATTCCTTTTTTTTTGTTCCATCTGTTTGCACTGTATGCTAAGTGAACATTAGTTGCACTAACTGCTGGTTTTAAAAAAATGTTTTCTGGGGAAAGGGGACAGGAAAGGAAAAGAAAGAAGGGGAGAAACCCTAAAAAGAGAAGAATCTTAATGAACACAAAAGCTTGTCTATTATTTCAAAATTCTCCAACATCTGACTCTCGAGGACATTTCAACTTCTCCCTAGTCATCCATTTTTTTTTTAAGCCTGAGGAGCTTATTACTCATTTGTGTGAAGTGCTGTATGCTCTGAGTTATTCAGAATATCATCTTTTAGACACAGACCAAAGAATCAACAGTAGTACTCTTTCTTTCCTTTATTCTTTAAAAAATTTTTGTCTTTTAATTTTGGTTTTAGGGTGAAGTCTCTGTTTTCTTTCTACCCAATACTGAAGCCCAGAGCTGGTAGATGAAACTTATTAGTCAGTTAAATACCATTTTCTTTTTCTTTATATTGGAGGAGTTGATATGCAGCTGCAGTTCATCCACACTGTAAACACATGTATTAAAAAAATCCCAACAGGGCATGGTGGCTCACGCCTGTAATCCCAGCACTTTGGGAGGCCGAGGCAGATAGATTATCTGAGGTCAGGATCTTGAGACCAGCCTGACCAACACAGTGAAACCCTGTCTTTACTAAGAATACAAAAAAATTAGCCAGGCGTGGTGGCAGGTGCCTGTAATCCCAGCTACTTGGGAGGCTGGGGCAAGAGAATTGCTTGAACCTGGGAGGCGGAAATTGCGGTGAACTGAGATCGTGCCATTGCACTCCAGCCTGGGCAACAGAGCAAGACTCCGTCTCAAAATAATAATAATTCCAAGTAAAAATTTATTCTGGTCTGAGTAGATAAAACATCAATGCTCCCAAAGGAAAAGCAGTCTATCATTGGAGGAGCCTTATGACAAGCCTTTGTGCTCTATAGCAAACACTAAAGACTGGTTTACATACGTCTCCAGTAACAATATGGCACTTGACTTGTAGACATGTCAGAACCTTGACCCTATTTCTTTTGTGGCAGAGTGTGTTGCATTGAAAATTGAGTGTGTATACTTTTATCAACCTTGTAAATAAGTGTATATGTATATATACATATATATGATAAAGGTTGATGGGATTAAGGGGATTAGAGTGATTATGGGAGCAGCTAAAGATGAAGGGGCTCAGTTTACTCAGCACTAAATTCTAGAAAGCACTTTGGCCTCTTGCTGTAGAGAGCAGGTTTCTATGGTACCCTTGGTTAGGAAAGGGACACAGAAATCTGGGATGTCCTGTTTGCTCCCACGCTGTCTCATCTAGTACCCCTGGAGGAGGCTTACCAGAGAGAGCAACGAAGCGTCAAAAATTGATAATTCAAGATTTTTTTTTTTTGAGAAGCTCTTTTATTTTGCTTCTTCACCCTTTCTAAAAGTTTAAGGAATTTTTCAAGCTCTCCAAAAGAGGGCAAAGATTAATCTACCATGCATCTACCTTGCAGTGTGGGGATTCTGTTGAGTGGTAGTATTGTTGAGCAGTACATGCATAAAGCACAGATTCGCATTTCATAGTATTAGCCAGTACCAGCTTTGGTGATGTTAGGAGTTCTGGAGCTTAATTTTCTATGGATCATCTGTAGTGTGTAAATGTATTGCCTTCTGCCCACCTTGATACATAAACTTTTGCAGGAATGGACAACCCCTGAGAACTGTTTAAATTTCATACCACACAAAGCTGCTTGCCATTCTCTTGTGTTATGACAATAATTGTTATCTGTCATTTTGTACTGTAAATTCCTGGCAAATGCTTTACAGTCAATAATGTTGCTTTAAATTGTTGCCCTCCCAACATGCTTGATGTTTGGCCTAATCTCCAGGCCAAAAGACTGAGATGAATCAAAACCAGTGAACTTTTTTTTAATGTTTTTGAATTCCCTTTTAACCCAGTGTACTAGGTCAATCAGAAGGCATCTGGGAGGAGAAAAAAAAGCAAAAAATAATTTTTAAAAAATTGATTCCCATATTGCATTGATTTTTAAAAACCTAAAATATACACGTTTGTATTTAACTCATATGGACAAAGGGATTAATTATTTGAAGTTGCTTTTTTGACTCTGCCCACTTCTATTTTTTTTCCCAAGACAGAGTCTCACTGTGTCACCCAGGCTGGAATGCAATGGCATGATCTTGGCTCAGTGCAACCTCCGCCTCCCGGGTTCAAGAGATTCTCCCTGTCTCAGTCTCCCAAGTAGCTGGGATTACAGGTGCCCACCTGTAATACACCAGGTGTATGTGACTCACCCACAATTCCTTGGAGATCAAAATCCTACAGATGCCTCCTGATCAGACACAGCCCTAACTCTTCAACAACTGTGGCAAGAGCTGCACAGTACAAACCCAAAAAAGAGCAATCTCATTTATTTGGAATCCAAGTCACGTATGTTCTGTCCAGTCAATGTTGGTTACTAAATACAAACCTTAATTCAGGAAGTAACCTTTTTTTTTTTTTGCATGAAGCGCTGGGAGAGGGAATTTAAACGGTATCAACTTTTGACCAAAAAGTCTTGTTCTTGTACTGACGCAGCATTCTTTCTCCTACACCTCCTGCAAGAGGGATCATTAATATAGAAGAAATGCAAGGAAAGAGTGTAAATGTAATTCTGTATCTCGCTAAAAAACATGTGAGTGACCAATCAAAAGTTCAGTCTTCTTTTCCAGTCTTACACTGCTCTGCCTGGTGCTGAGTTCCTGTGGGTCCCTCTTAAAGTACAGACTTAAAATTGGAAGTATTGCTGAAGTATAACATCTAATGACGAGTGGCACTTAAACTATCTGGGACACCACTATTGGACACAGTGTTACAGAGGCAGCTGTCCAGCTTGTTGCTTGGTTCTTGAATATAAATCATGAAATGGAAATATGCTCTAAGGACTTGGTCAAAGCCTGGTCTTTTTTTTTGTCCCTCATATTAAGGAGGATTGTTACTACTGGAAAGTGTTTTCAGATTATTTCCAATATTGGAATGTATTTTTTAAAGTAATGGTAATATTTTTTCCAGTGGTTCATTTGGATGATAACTAGTTCCTATTTTTAATATTAAAACTATATTCAACTCATGGTTTAGCCTTTGGTTGCATCGTTGTGTAATGGGTTATGGACTGTCACACACCTTCCCACCTCTGGGCCTGTGTGTTTTCTCTCCCCGTATGTTCTGACGGGATGGAAACTTTTTTGTCTTTCCCTTAGGAAAGGAATAAAGTTATTCTAAAATGATCTTTTACTGAAGTAAGGGAGAGGGAAACCTAAATATACCTCTAAATTATTTCAAGTTGGTCCCAGTATCATAAGATGGGTTGGCCTGAAATGGTAAGAGGGTGGGGTTGGTTATCAGTATTTGTTTTCAGAATGAGGCGGGAGTGTCTTTCGTTTGCCACGTGCTTTGTGCTTGACACCTTCATGCTTGATTAGAACAAGACAACTCAGCATAAAGCCTTGAGTGTAAATTGTTAAGAGTCAAAATATCTCATTCTGATAACTTAGTTTAACTGTTTTCTTTTTAATAGGGATGGGAGAAACCGTACTTTGCCCCCAAAGGGAGAGTGTCTGCACTAAAAATGTAGAAACTCTTTGGAAGCTCATAACCTTATCAGACACTGCCTTTACCACACTCCTGACCTTCTAGATTAGTAACAAAAGAGATGAAATAAGTTCTTGGGAATTAAGCTATATTATCTTAATTTGAGAATTTTTTTCAATGTTCTAGGTATCTTTAAATGTGTTATTGTGGAATTATTTTCTTGCCAAATACCTTCGTCAAGCAAAAATTACTGGTCTCATGAGAGCTGAAGTAACTCAGCTCTTTGGCGAACTTCAGTGGACTTTGGTGAGCTCATAGCTCTACTTTACGTCTTTAAAAACAGTTTTTTTTAAAACTCTCAAATCTACTCTCAGATACTTTTAAACATATTGTTTCCTTAGAAGATTCAGGACTTTTTTTATTTTACGTCTTTCATACTGGAAGTCTGGACTATATGATAAAAATATTTCAATTTCGTACTCTTCTAACACCTGGAATTTGGAGCCCTTAAAATTTTCATATAGAAGGGAAATAGTTTAGTAAGTTATGGGGTTTTGTCATCCTTAGCATTGGTTCTCAAATTTTAGCAGACATTTGAGTTGCCTGAAGATCTTGTTAAAACATAAGGACCTAAGTCTAAGCCTCAAACTCATGAATTCTGATTCAGTAGGTCTGGAATGGCACTCATGAATTTGAATGCCTAACAAGCACCCAGGTACTGCTGCTGCTAGTCCAAGAGCCAAACTTGGAGAATCAATGCACTCTAAATCACATATTTCCAAAAAAGAAACAGGAACATTTAACCCTTTAAAAATTAATGGATCTCTAATGCCAGACCTCCTGGAAAACTAGAAGTCAGTACTTAACATTTTTTTATGCTACAAATTTGAGCCTTTGTGTCAAAATTAGATTTAGAACAGCTATTTTGGTCATAAATTATGATCTCTAACAATCAGAAATATCTACTGAAATATTCAAAAACAAATCTAGCAACAATATCTGCAAATCTCATATGATAGCTAAATCCATTAATATGTATATTAAAATTTTTGCAACAACTTTGTAAGTACTTAGAAATAAAGGTAAGTCCATAATGTTGTTTTATATTTTGGAGTTGTCTCACCATCTTGTATACACATTTTAGTATTTTTAATAATAATATAATTGTTACAAAAATTCCTCTGAAGCTATGTGGATATACATTATTTTTTTAAAGGCTACATAGCATTCTGCTCAGATAACAATTCACAATTTGCAGAAAAATTTTCTTTATTTATTTAACAAATATTTATTGATTGCCTATTGTATACCAGTCACTTTTCCAGTTTTTCATTATTATAAGCAGCATTAGTCAATGTTTTCTGTAATCATTATCACATTCAACAAACCAGGTTAAATAGCTCTATTAATATTTTTTCTTAATTATGAATAACATAACAACTAAGTGATAGCATAAGCGTATTTATAAATATTGCATTTTCTGCAGTTGGTTTTTTCCTTAAAATTAAAGAATATAAGATTATTCAGTTTAAGTTTATTTCTAAAACTGTATGCATTTAAATATTGATAAATTCCTCTCTAAAATTATTGTAAAATATTATATTGCTTCCAGTATTGTTCTCCCTCAGTCTAGCCAACATGAGGAATTTATCATTTGTTATTTTTTATACTTAATAATAGAAGGCATACTGTATCATATATAAGTACATAACAACTACAGTCAGATTGCTTGGGTTTAATTCTAGTGCTACCATTTATCCTTTGTGAGGTGACTTTAGTCGCTTAATCTTTCTGCATCTGTAAAATGAGCATATTGAATAAATAATTCTGTAAAGTGCTTAGCAGAGTGACTCAAAAATGGACACTTAATGGTGCTACATATTATGTCCATTAATGTTTTGTTTAAAATTTTATTACAAAGAAATCATAGACAAGACAAACAAATGGGAACACATCCTATGCTCATGGATGGGTAGAATCAATATTTTGAAAATGACCATACTGCCAAAAGCAATCTACAGATTCAATGCAATTCCCATCAAAATACCCCCACCATTCTTCACAGAATTAGAAAAACAATTTTAAAATTGATATGGAACCTAAAAAGAGCCTGCATATTCAAAGCAAGACTCAGCAAACAGAACAAATCTGGAGGCATCACATTATCCAACTTCAAACTATACTGTAAGGCCATAGTCACCAAAACAGCACAGTACTGGTCTAAAAATAGGCACATAGACTAATGGAACAGAATAAATAACCCAAAAATAAAACCAAATACTTAACAGCCAACTGATCTTTGACAAAGCAAAGAAAAACAGGAAGTGGGGAAAGGACACCCTGTTCAACAAATGGTGCTGGGATAATTGGCAAGCCACATATAGGAGAATGAAACTGGATCATCATCTCTCACCTTATACAAAAATCAACTGAAAATGAGTCAAATACTTAAATCTAAGACCTGAAACCATAAAAACTCATGACATCAGAAAAACCCTTCTAGATATTGGCTTAGGCAACGATTTCATGACCAAGAACCCAAAAGCAAATGCAACAAAAACAAGGATAAATAGATAGGACTAAAAAGCTTCTGCACAGCAAATGAAATAATCAGCAGAGTTAACAGACAACTTACAGAGTGGGAGAAAATATTCACAATCTATACATCTGACAAAGGACTAATATCCAGAATCTACGAAGAACCCAAACAAATCAGCAAGAAGAAAACAAAGAATCCTATCAAAAATTGGGCTAAGGACAGGAATAGACAACTCTCAAAAGAAGATATACAAATGGCCGACAAGCATATGGAAAAATGCTCAACATCACTAATGATCAGGGAAATGTAAATCAAAACCACAGTGTGATACCACGTTACTCTTGCAAGAATGGCCATAATCAAAAATTCAAAAAATAATAGATGTTGGCGTGGATGTGGTGAAAAGGGAACACTTTTACACTGTTGGTGGGAATGTAAACTAGTATAACCATTATGGAAAACAATGTGGAGATTCCTTAAAGAACTAAAGGTAGAACTACCAGTTGATCCAGCAATCCCACTACTAGGTATCTATCCAGAGGAAAAGAAGTCATTATATGAAAAAGATTCCTTGCACACACATGTTTATAGCAGCACAATTTGCAACTGCAAAAATATGTAACCAGTCCAAATGCCCATCAATCAATGAGTGGATAAAGAACATATGGGAGATGTATACGTATACACCATGGAGTACTATTCAGCCATTAAAAGGAACAAAATAATGGCATTCACAGCAACTGAGATGGAATTGGAGACCATTATTCTAAGTGCAGTAACTCAGGAATGGAAAACCAAACATCACATGTTCTCATTCATAAGTGGGAGCTAAGCTATGAGGATGCAAAGGCCTAAGAATGACAGAATGGATTTTGAGGACTCAGGGGAAAGGGTGGGAGCAGGGTGAGGGATAAAAGACTACATATTGGGTACAGTGTACACTGCTTGGGTGATGAGTTTACCAAAATCTCAAAAATCACCACTAAAGACCTTATTCATGTAACCAAACACCATCTGTTCCCCAAAAACCTATTGAAATAAAAAATAAATTAAAAAAATTGTTTAATAGAAGGGGATTTAATATCTTTAAGTAGCACATCAACTAATAAATGTGAAAGAGATGGTAGACTTAGAAAATCACCATTTTGCTACAATTATAATAAAAATTATAAGCAAAAATTTAAGCAAAAATTATCAGTGAATACTTAAATGAGTAGGTCAAAGTTTGGGGAATAAAGAATATTTATGTATTGTCAAAGTACCTCTCCACAAATTACTTATAAATTACTAAGGGGAAAATAGTAAATTTATAATGGAGAAACCTGGCAGAACCATCTTAGCCAACTGATTATAGCTAATATCACCAGTAATGGGACAGATCAACATGTGCCTTCCGATGTAATGTGCTGAGAAGACAATCTCATGTCTATTTTCCTATATGACATTTATGACCTAGATCTAATCAGAGGAAATATCAGACAGACCCAAACTGAGTGACATTCTACAAAATAACAGGAACTCCAAGCTGCCAACGTTATAAGAGAAAAGACTGAGGAGCTAATCCAGATTAAAAGACCCTCAAAGGACATGACCACTAAGTGAAATTTTTATTCCTGAGTTGAATTTTAGACTAGGAAATAAAATCAATATAGGATATCATTTGGATAATGGATTAAATTTGAATATTGACTCTGGATGACATAATATTATTGTATGAATGGTATTTTTTTATTATTGGTCATTTTACTAGTTATGCAAGAGAATGTCTGTTCTTAGGAAATACACATTGTTCAAAAGGTTAAAAAAATGTTTATTAAAAGAGTAAATGATAAAGCAACTAGGGCAAAAATGTTAATAATTTGTGAATCTGGGTAAAGGATATATGAGTATTATTTGTTCTATTCTGATAATCTCTATGTAACCTTGAAATTATGTCAAAATAAAATGTTTAAAAATAAATAAATAAATAGATAGATAAAATTTTATTACACAAAATTGTCCAGGAAATAGGGAAGAAGAAACACTTCCAATTTGTCTTATGAGGCCAGTATCAACTTGATAACAAAATTAAACGAAGACATTATACACACACACACACAGACATACACACAGACGAAAAATAACTTTAACCATTCCAATAGATACAGCAAAACATTTGAAAAAATTTAACATTTACTAAAGATAAAATCGCTGAATTACTGAGCATACTCAGATGAAAAGGGAATGTTTGATCTGAAGAAAAGACTCTACATAAAAGCTACAGTATATATCATACTTGATGAAATACTTTAAATTTCCACTATAGGTTAAGAAATAAGATAAGAATGACTACTGTCAATATTTCTTCTCAGTAGCCCAATAGAGCCAGGAAAATGACAAAGAAGGTATAAAATTTGAAAATAGATGATGTGGTTGGGTACATAAAGATCTGGAAAGGAAATATACCTAAACTATTAGAATTAAATAGTAAACTAAATAAAATACAAAGGCCATAAAATTTTAGTAGCATCAAAAGCCTCCCAATATTTAGGAACAAATTTAATTAAATATTGGCAAAATCTCTACATTGAAAACTACAAACGATTACTAAAAAAATTTTAAATAGACAAATAAATCAAGGAATATTACATTTTTATAAAGTGGAAGTTTCAATATTGCTAAGAAGTCAATTCTTCCCAAATTTATGTTTAAATTCATTGTGATTCTCAGTAAAATGCAAGCAGGTTTTTGGCTTTATGGAAATTCACAAAATGATTCTATTAATATCTAAATGCATGCAACCAAAAGCCACAATGACATGAAGAAAAACCAAGTTGGAGAAGTCACACCACTGGATATCAAAACTTACAAAGCTATGATAACTAACTAGAACTATGGCATAGAATCAAGTATCAAGAATCACATCACATATAAACATCACCAAATTTATGACAAATATGCTAAACTGATTTTAATGATAATTTTAGCCATAAATACTTACATTAAAAAAGAAAAAAATAAATGTTAACTAGCTAAGTCTCTAATGTGAAAAATTACAAATACAAATGGAAAAATTTCAAAATAAGTGGAAGAAATGATACAGTGTTACGATAAGAGCAAGAGTTATTGAAATTAAGAACAATAGAGGGAAAGATATTAAATGTCAAATTTCTGGCAAAATCTTTTAAGAATAATAGCTGATAATGCACAAATTAATAATATTAGGGATTGAAAGGAAATGTAACTTCAGGTAACCACAAAAATAAGATAAGATAAAAGAATAAATTATGAAACGTTATGCCAATAGGTTTGAAAAAATAGTGAATATAATTTAGTAATGATGAAGAACAATTTAAAAAATATACTGGCTTCCTTGCTATTAATTATACATTCTAAGAATGCTCCTATCTCTGGACTTTGCATTGGTTTCTCTGCTTGGAATGTTTTTCCTCAGATACTCAATTAGCTAACTGTATTTAAGCTTTATTTTTACATGTGGTGCTATTAGTGAAAACTTTACAATATGAAATAGTTTGTTTCCTGCACTATGTCACTTGCCTTGCTTTCTTTAGCTCTGTAATGTGTGTTGCCATCTAACCCGGTTCATGCTTACATGTTTATTTGTTAGTGGTTTCTCTACCACTATAGATTGCACTTCATGAATATGAAAACTTTGTCTAATTCATCACTACTGGATTTTCAGTTGGAGTTCCAATAAATTCACATGAATAAATGATGAATAAAAGAATTAAAACTGTATGATGGTCTTAATAGACATAGGAAAAAGAAACATTGCATACAAGTCAGCATATATTTATGATGAAAAGTTTAGCAGACCTGAAATAAGAAGGGACTTTGTCAATTTAATAAAGGCTCCTGGGGTAGATCAGTACTTTAGTGGGCTCAAGGAACCATGCCCCCAGTACTCACGTTTGTTTCACAATGACTTACTCCACAGTTGGCCATGTGATAAGTTTGACCAATGTGACAGATCTAAGCAGAGGCTTGATAAATGGTTGTACCTGTGGCTTATATTCTTCAAACACCGGTTCTTCAGATTATCCTTGGAACCTAGCCATCATTTTGTGAGGAGCCCAACCTAGCCATGTGGAAAGGTCATATGGAGAACCATATGGAGGACCAGCCAACAGCTCTAGCTAGACTTCTAGGTAAAACCTAATACTAACTTTATTGGAACAGTGGCAAGCTGTCTTTACCAAGCTCTGCTAAAGTAAATAAGTTAAATAGTTATTGTTTGAAGTCACTGTTTTGGGATGTCTCCTTATACAAAAATAGATAAATGAAACAGTTGTCCATCTAAAACCTAGGTCAAAACATGTACTCAGTGAGAACAAGACATGACTGCCACTTGTTATCACTTTAATTCCACACTGTTTTGATTGTTTTAGCTGGTGCATTAAGATAAAGAAAATTCATAGGAACTAGAATGGAAGTTTAAAAACTTTCCTTAATTATAGGAGCTATATTTCCCTACTTAAAAAAATCCCTGGCCGGGCGCGGTGGCTCATGCCTGTAATCCCAGCACTTTGGGAGGCCGAGGCGGGTGGATTACGAGGTCAGGAGATCGAGACCATCCTGGCTAACACAGTGAAACCTCGTCTCTACTAAAAATACAAAAAAATTAGCCGGGCGTGGTGGCAGGCGCCTGTGGTCCCAGCTACTCCGGAGGCTGAGGCAGGAGAATGGCGTGAACCCGGGACGTGGAGCTTGCAGTGAGCTGAGATCGCGCCACTGCACTCCAGCCTGGGCCACAGAGCGAGACTCCGTCTCAAGAAAAAAAAAAAAATCCCTAAGAATCTGCAGATAAAACATTAGAAAAATGAGATAATTTAGCAAATCCCTTGGCCCAGGTATCAAATTGGTATATTTCTATATACCAGCAACAAAGAGTAAAATGTAGTTTGGAAAACATAATTTTGATAACTACCAAAGTAATAATGTCCAGATGTAAATCTAATAGAACATAGAAAAGCTTTACACAGAATATTATAAAACTTTACTGAAATACATTAGAGAAGATCTAAATAAACATGGATATTTACCTTGATAATGGTTGAGGAGTTATCTTTAGTAACTTTATTTTTTTGCTAACATATAGAGTCAATGAAATTTTAATTAAAAGATACTTTTAATTTATAAAAAAATTTATTGCACCAATTCTCACATTTATGCAAAGAGGGAAGAGTGCAAGATAACAAAAAAAAGTAAAAAAAACAGGAATAAAATTCAGAGATTTGTTCTAATAGCAAGATTTACAATGTATAGGAAATAAGACAGTACAGTGTTAGCACAGGAACAGACAGGTAGATGAGTGGACAAAAAGAGAGGACACCAAAGAGATCTGTGTGTGTATGTATATATATATATATACATACACACACACACACACATTGCAAGTCAGTAAATGGCACTGGGGCAATTGGTTTTCCACATTAAGAAAAGAAAGATAGATTGAAATATTTCTCACTATGAGTGTATCTAAAAATGAGTTTCAGGTGGATTAAAGATTGAAATATTAAAGTCAAAACTTTAAAACTTTTTAAAGTACCTATAAAGTGATTATCTTTATGTCCTTGGGAGTGGAAAACATTCCTTAACAAAAGAACTAAAAAAGACTTTAGCATAGAGAGAAAGACTTATTTTAATAATTCTGCAATCTAAAATTAGAGCATCTTCACATCAAAGGAAACCACAGAATGAATGAAAAATCAGGCTACAGAAGGGAAAGGGATATCTGCCACTTCTATTAAGTGGCACAGTTTAGTATTCTAAAGAGACACATAATTCCCTTAAAAATAAGAAAAAGAAAATGGCCAAAATGAAAATGAGCAAAAGTCTGCAAACAAATCCAAATGCCTAGTAAACACACAAACAAAAATGTCTAATAAGATAGAAAAAGCAAATTAAAAGTAGAGTGTGCTGTATCTGTCAGTATCCTTAGAGTAGTAACTCGTTGGATAAGTATGTAAAGCTCTGAGAGCTCATATACAAGGTTGGTAAGGGTGTAAATTGCTAAACCTACTTTGAAGAATGATTTCACATTATATCAGGAAGCTTTAGATGTCAAAGGCAAAAACATAATTTTTCAGAAATGTATAGTGGATACCTTTTAGAAACAGGGAAGTAGGAAAAGGAGCCTAGAGCTGCGCATAAAGGGAAATAAAATACGCTCATAAAGAATTATGCCTTTAAAAGTTATTGGACTCAAATCTTATGAACTATTAATGGTTATTGCTTTAACCATTATTATGAAGTATGAATTTCAGTTGCATTGTTTTTTGTAATCTTCCTTCTGAGGGTAAAAATCAAACAGAAAGAGTTATAAACGTAGGGATTCTGTTTATAATGCTATGACTTTTGGTCTCAAGTTGTGTCATGTGTCTTTAGGGAAAGGCTGGCATTCCTTCCCTTTCCTTTCTTATTCTTTCATTTTCTTTTCTTTCATTTATTTATTTCTTTCCTTTTCTTTCCATCCCATTCCTTTCCTTTTATTTTCCTATCTCTCTCTGTAAACATGTAAGAATGCATGCATATTCACTGCACTACTCTGGTAGTGTCTTACTGATATATCCCTGTCCATTTATAAATCAAAATAGAAAGCTGCTATAATTTAACAACATGGACAGCATTGAAAGGTATGGATAATAGGACAATTTTAACTCATGTGTTGATGTGATAATATATCTCATAGAACGTCAACTCAAGAAAGATATAAGACATGGCATAATGTGTTATGTGCATATTTGTGTCCCTGTTAGTATTGAAAAGTTATCATATTAAAAATGAACAAAGGGAAAAAGTGCATGAGGTGCCGGGAGTCTAGGAGAAACCAGGAATAAGCTTCCAGGTGTTTTCTTCCAGTGAGTTACATTGATGTGCTTAATTGTGCCATCAATGGTACGATAACACATGCAGAATAATGCCAACCAGGAAGTTCACTCAAGTTTGATGTAGAAGGTTTTTATGGGGGATCAGTCAGGTAGGCATACGGCACCTGTGTAACTGACCTCAGCTACTCAGACCCCAGCCCACCAGAGCAAAAATAGGCACCATAAATCACCTTGTTAGCATAATCTATCTGATCAAATTTATATTGTGACCCAATAAAACAAATTATTTAAAAAAAAACATTTTATTAGGCAGGATATTCAAAGAACTTAGAGCTCCTCTTCCAGGAGCCTGCCAAGGGCCAGTCCTGAATATAGGCCTTTCTTGGGAATATACAGGGTTCTGCAACACAGACATGAAAAGTTAACCCTTTTCTGCATAATGGTTGACTGATATATTTTGATATATCAGATGCGTTAGGTCTTTTGCAACTGAAAAAAAGAGAAGCAAAACTATATTCATAAAATAATATCGAATTTTTCCTTAAAATACCATAGTGGTAAAGAATGAAAACTTGGGGGCCAAACTGCCTTGAGTTTGAGTCCCAGGTTAGCTAGTAGTTTGCTAGTGACTGTAGATAAGTTGATTAGTGACCTGTGCCTTAATTTCCTTATCTTTAAAGTAGGAATATCAATATTATTTGCCTCACAAGATTTATTGTAAATGTTGAACACAATAATACCTTTGAAGCCTAGAATAATCCTTGGCATAAGTAGTACTTATTACATGTCATTATTATTATTATAGTTTTATTATACGCTAGCACAGGCATAAGAAAGCAGATCGAGAGATATGAGCAAAAAGTGTTCCAAAAAGTTAAAAGCGAAAAAACAAAAATAAAAAAACACCTCAAGCTATTTAGGCTATTTTATAAAGAGAGAAGTGTTATGATTTTGTTAAGATAGTAACATTAGGGAAACAAGGTGAGGGATAAAAAGAGAAGCCTCTGTATTGTTTTTACAAATTTTTTACAGGTTTAAAATTTCTCCAAAGTTTAAAAGTGAGGTAACATTGTATTCTATTTGAGTAGTAAGTATTAGAAAGCAGGGTAGTGCCAAGAATTGGGACAGGTGAGGAAATGACAGGAACACGTCTGCCCCGCTGGTAGGAGTGTAGCCTCATGGAAGCATTCTGGAGCACATTCTGGGTATAAAAATTCAAATTAAGTCTCTCATATATTGGACCTGAGCAATTTTGCTTCCAGGTATATATCCTAAATAAATCCTTACACAGGTCCATAACAACAGTTGTTTGGCATAATTTATGGTAATGGGGAATTAGAAGCAACCCAGATGTCCATCAACGGGAGAGCAGATTTGCGAAGGTTGAGGATGTACAACATCAAAAAAATGCAGTTTTTAGAAAAAGTGGGCTAGATGTAGACATTGTAACGTGATAGCTCTTAAAAGTAGTGTGCTGAGTGAAAAAAAGTAAGAAACTGAATAAGATTATAATGTAATACTATTTTATAGAATAAAATATCCTAAAACAACAATACTAATAGAAATTAAGAGCCCATAAAATGTTACACATGAAACTTATAATAATTGTTTTCCTTAGGGGGAATGGTAGTAGAAACAGACAGGAAAGAAATGTTTTAAATAAAGTAAGATGAGAGAGATCGTGCACATATTAATGAGGACAGGGTGCCATGAACTGATAAATGTAATGAACTCAACCTTCTGCACTTGAGATCCAACCACATAATAAAAGGAAAAAAGAAATAATATATGCAATTTTGTCTATATATATATATCAAAATTAAAATAGTGATAACCTCTAGGAATCACTATTAAAGAGGAAATTCTTATTTTAATGTTATTTCTACAACATTTGAAACAATTTAAGGAGCATGAAGTGTAATTTTTGTATTCAAAACTTAAAATGTGAATAATTAGTAATAAATTTAATAAAGGAACAAGACTGCCTCACTGAAAGCCATGTAACGTTACTGAAAGAAATTAAAGACCTAAAAAATGGGAAGCTATGTTGTGTTTATGAATTAAATGACTCAATATTAAGACTTCTATTTTCTCAGAAATGATCTATAGATTTGATGCAATCCTAATAAAAATGCCAGCATGCTTCTTTTTAGTACGAATTAACAAGCTAATTCTAAAGTGTATATGGAAATGCAGAAGACTTGGAAAATCAAAGCCTAGAAAATCAAAAGATTAGAGGCATTAAACTACCTGACTTCAAGAATTGTTATAAAGGGCACGGCGTGGTGGCTCATGCCTGTAATCCCAGCACTTTGGGAGGCCGAGGTGGGCGGATCACGAGGTCAGGAGATCGAGACCATCCTGGCTACCACGGTGAAACCCCGTCTCTACTAAAAATACAAAAAAATTAGCCAGGCATGGTGGTGGGCGCCTATAGTCCCAGCTACTTAGGAGGCTGAGGCAGGAGAATGGCGTGAACCCAGGAGGCGGAGCTTGCAGTGAGCCGAGATGGTGCCACTGCACTCCAGCCTGGGCGACAGAGCAAGACTCCGTCTCAAAAAAAAATCGTTATAAAGTTGCTGAAATCAGTATGGTATGGTATTAGTTAAAAATAAACACATAGATCAATGAAAAAGAATAGTAAGCCCATATATTGACAAGGTGCTAAGGCAAATCAATGGGGGAAAATAATGTCTTTTCAATAAATCACACTAAAAACTATATATCTGTATAGAAAAAGAATGATCATTAACACTCACTTTATACTACACTCAAAAATTAACTCAATAAGGATCACAGACTTAATTAATATAGAAGCTAAAACTATTCATTTTCTAAATGGTCACATAGAAAAATACCTTTATAATTTTAGGCCGGGCGCGGTGGCTCATGCCTGTAATCCCAGCATATTAGGAGGCCAAGGCAGGTGGATCATTTGAGGTGAGGAGTTCAAAACCAGCCTGGCCAACATACTGAAATCCCATCTCTATTAAAAATACAAACAAACAAACAAAAAAGACAGAAAGAAAGAAAATGAGCCAGCATAGCAGCACACACTTGTAATCTCAGCTACTTGAGAGTCTGAGGCACGAGAATTGCTTGAACCAGGAGGCGGAGGTTGCAGTGAGCCAAGATTGCACCACTGCACTCCAGCCTGGGTGACAGAGTGAGACCCTGTCTCAAAAGAAAAAAAACTTTGTAATTTTAAAGAAGGTATTTTTGGAAGATAGGACACCAAACATGAATTATAAAACACAAAGTTGATAGATTGAACTACATCAAAATTTTTAAAGTTTTACTCTCCAAAAGAACCTGATGGAAAAAAAAGACAATCACAGGAGATTAGAAAAAACATCTGTAATACGTGTATCTGACAAAAGATTTTTATCCAGTATATATACATATATACACACATATGTAAATGTCTTCATAATAGAAAGATTAACAACTTGTTTTAAAAATGGGCCAAGTGTCTGAGCAAAAACTTCACAAATGAAGACACACAAATAACTAATAAGTCCATGAAAAGATGTTCAACCTTGTTGAACAGGGCAATACAAAATAAACTCATCGATATATATCACCATGAATGTGTTTAAAAAGCTAAAAGTTTTTCAAAACACCTGACAAGGTAGCCAAGATGGTCTTGATCTCCTGACCTCGTCATCCGTCCACCTCGGCCTCCCAAAGTGCTGGGATTACAGGCGTGAGCTACCACGCCCAGCCCTTTATAACAATTCTTGATTATCTAGGGAATATAATATGGAACAACTACTTTAGAAATCAGTGTGGGTGGCTGGAAAGATGGTGGAATAGAAACAGCTTCGGTCTGCAGCTCCCACTGAGATCAATGCAGAAGCCAGATGATTTCTGCATTTCTAACTGAGATACCCGACTAATCTCACAGGGACTGGTTAGACAGTGGGTGCAGCCCAGGGAGGGCTAGCCGAAGCAGGGTGGGGCATCGCCTCACCCGGGAAGCGCAAGGGGTCAGACAACTCCCTCCCCTAGCCAAGGGAAGCCATGAGGGACTGAGCCATGAGGAACAGTGCACTCCAGCCCAGATACTACGCTTTTCCCATGGATTTCGCAAACCACAGAACAGTAGATTCCCTTGGGTGCCTACGCTACTGGGGTCCTGGGTTTCAAGCACAAAACTGGGCGGCTGTTTGCGCAGAGACTGAGCTAGCTGCAGGAGTACAGCTAAGGCAGTGTTTAAAGGGAAATTTATAGCACTAAATGCCCACAGGAGAAAGCAGGAAAGATCTAAAATCGACACTCTAATATCGCAATTAAAACAACTAGAGAAACAAGAGAAAACAAATTCAAAAGCTAGCAGAAGACAAGAAATAACTAAGATCAGAGCAGAAATGAAGGAGATAGAGACACACACAAAAAAATTCAAAAAATCAATGAATCCAGGAGCTGGTTTTTTTGAAATAATTAACAAAGTAGACTGCTAGCCAGACTAATAAAGAAGACAAGAGAGAAAAATCAATAGACACTATAAAAATGATAAATGGCATATCACTGCTGATCCCACAGAAATAGAAACTACCATCAGGGAATACTATAAACATCTCTATGCAAATAAACTAGAAAATCTAGAAAAAATGGATAAATGCCTGGACACATAAACCCTTCCAAGACTAAACCAGGAAGAAGTCTAATGCCTGAATAGACCAATAACAAGTTCTGAAATGGAGGTAGTAGTTAATAGCCTACCAACCAAGAAAAGCCCAGAACCAGACAGATTCACAGACGAATTCTACCGCAAGTACAAAAAGGAGCTGGTACCATTCCTTCTGAAAATATTCCAAACAATAGAAAAAGAGGGAATCCTCCATAACTCATTTTATGAGGCCAGCATCAACCTGATACCAAAACCTGGCAGAGACACAACAAAAAAAGAAAATTTCAGGCCAATATCCCTGATGAACATTGATGTGAAAATCCTCAATAAAATACTGGCAAACCGAATCCAGCAGCACATCAAAAAGCTCATCTACCATGATCAAGTCAGCTTCATTCCTGGGATGCAAAGCTGATTCAAATATGCAAATCAATAAATGGAATCTATCACATAAACAGAACCAATGACAAAAACCACATGATTATCTCAATAGATGCAGAAAAGGCCTTCGACAAAATTCAGCAGCCCTTCATGCTAAAAACTCTCAATAAACTAGATATTGATGGAATGTATCTCAAAATAATAAAAGCTATCTATGACAAACTCACAGCCAATATCATACTGAATGGGCAAAACCTGGAAGCATTCCCTGAGAAAACTGTCACAAGACAAGGATGCCCTCTCTCACCACTCTTATTCAACATAATGTTGGAAGTTCTGGCCAGGGCAATCAGGCAAGAGAAAAAAATAAAAGGTATTCAAATAGAAAGAGAGGAATTCAAATTGTCTCTGTTTGCAGATGACATGATTCTATACTTAGAAAACCCCATCGTCTCAGCCCAAAATCTCCTTAAGCTTATAAGCAATTTCAGCAAAGTCTCAGGATACAAAATCAATGTGCAAAAACCACAAGCATTCCTATACACCAATAATAAAAAAAACAGAGAGCCAAATCATGAGTGAACTCCCATTCATAACTGCTACAAAGAGAATAAAATACCCAGGAATACAACTTACAAGGTATGTGAAGGACCTCTTCAAGGAGAACTACAAACCACTGCTCAAGGAGAGAGGGCACAAACAAATGGAAAAACATTCCATCCTCATGGGTAGGAAGAATCAATATCATGAAAAATGGCCATACTGCCCAAAGTAATTTATAGATTCAATGCTATCCCCATCAAGTTACCATTGACTTTCTTCACAGAATAGGAAAAAACTACTTTAAATTTCATATGGAACCAAACAAGAGCCCACATAGCCAAGATAATCCTAAGCAAAAAGAACAAAGCTGGAAGCATCATGCTACCTGACTTCAAAGTATACTACAAAGCTACAGTAACCAAAACAGCATGTTACTGGTGC
Organism: Homo sapiens; assembly: GCF_000001405.40. Taxonomy (NCBI): domain Eukaryota; kingdom Metazoa; phylum Chordata; class Mammalia; order Primates; family Hominidae; genus Homo; species Homo sapiens. The sequence continues at coordinate 576,307 of NT_167247.2, read as the reverse complement.
CAAAACAGATATATAGACCAACAGAACAGAACAGAGGCCTCAGAAATAATGCCACACATCTACAACCATCTGATCTTTGACAAACTTGACAAAAACAAGCAATGGGGAAAGAATCCCCTATTTAATAAATGCTGTTGAGAAAACTGGCTAGCCATATGCAGAAAACTGAAACTGGACTCCTTCCTTATACCTTATACAAAAATTAACTCAAGATGGATTAAAGACTTAAACGTAAGACCTAAAACCATAAAAACCCAAGAAGAAAACCTAGGCAATACCATTCAGGATTTAGGCATGGGCAGAGACTTCATGACTAAAACATCAAAAGCAATGACAACAAAAGCCAAAATTGACAAATGGGATCAAATTAAACTAAAGAGCTTCTGCACAGGAAAAGAAATCATCAGCAGAGTGAATAGGCAACCTACAGAATGGGAGAAAATTTTTGTAATCTATCCATCTGACAAAGGGCTAATATCCAGAATCTACAAAGAATTTAAACAAATTTACAAGAAAAAAACAAACAACCCCATCAAAATGTGGGCGAAGGATGTGAACAGACACTTTTGGGATTCTCCAGGTTCAAGCGATTCTCCTGCCTCAGCCTCCTGAGTAGCCGGGATTACAGGTTCATGGCACCACGCCCAGCTAAGTGTTTGTATTTTTAGTTGAGATGGAGTTTCACCATGTTAGCCAGGATGGTCTCAATCTCCTGACCTCGTGATCTGCCTGCTGCGGCCCCCTAAAATGCTGGGATTACAGGCATGAGCCAATGCCCCGGCCTGACAGACACTTTTTAAAATAAGACATTTATGTGGCCAACAAACATATGAAAAAAAGCTCATCATCACTGGTTATCAGAGAAATGTGAATCAAAACCATAATGAGATACCATCTCATGCCAGTTAGAATGGCTATCATTAAAAAGGCAGGAAACAACAGATGCTAGAGAGGACGTGGAGAAACAGGAACACTTTTACACTGTTGGTGGGACTGTAAACTAGTTCAACCATTGTGGAAACAGTGTGGCGATTCCTCAAGGATCTAGAACCAAAAATACCATTTGACCCAGGAATCCCTTTACAGGGTATATACCCAAAGGATTATAAATCATTCTACTATAAAGACACATGCACACGTATGTTTATTGTGGCACTGTTCACAATAGCAAAGACTTGAAACTAACCCAAATGCCCATCAATAATACACTGGATAAAGAAAAGGTGGCACATATACACCCATGGAATACTATGGAATACTATGCAGCCATAAAAAAGATGATTTCATGTCCTTTGCAGGGACATGGATGAAGCTGGAAACCATCATTCTCAGCAAACTAACACAAGAACATAAAACTAAACATTGCATGTTCTCACTCATAAGTAGGAGCTGAACAATGAGAACACATGGACACAGGTAGGGGAACATCACACACTGGGGCCTGTTTGGGGGTGAGGGGGTAAGGGAGGGATAGCATTAGGAGAAATACCTAACGTAGTTGACAGGTTGATGGGTGCAGCAAACCACCATGGCATGTATATACCTACGTAACAAACCTGCAAGTTCTGCACATGTACCCCAGAGCTTAAAGTATATAAAAAAAAGAAAAAATCTCATGTGGCAGATTAAAGAAAAAAAAACTTACTAAGGTATATGCATATGTAGATATTATAACCATTAATTCAAAAAAGTCCTATAAAAACATTCCCCATTACTGAGCAATTGCTTATTCCCTTTGTCATTAAAACATGCACTTTGATTTACTTCAAAACTGAGGGGACTAGTCCAGTTTTGTACTCTTGTAAATTATGAGTCTTTCTTGAAGAAATCTGCAGCATTACACAAAATTGAATCAGATATTCAGATTCACAAGATTTGTGCCTCCTTATCTCACACATTCATAAGTTGGAACTCTTCATTTGCAGTTTATCTATATTCTGTTTCATGGAACTAGGGAGCATCCCCTGCCTAACTCTGTAAAACCAATTTGTCAAACTCTTGTACAGATCAGAAAAGTAAAGGAATTAATATAAATACCTCCAGTAATAGGGATGCACAAGGGTGATGACAATTTTATTAATAGATTATAGTAGTATATGCTTATATTTATAGATTATACACATCACACACACACATAAACATACACACTCACATTTGGGTAATAATGCATTTGCCATCAGTAAGGAACATAAATGACCTTATTGTTTGAGTCAGACAAATATTAATTTGAATCAGAGCTTAACTACCATTTATTTGAGAAATCTCAGGAAAATTAACTAATCCTTCCTAAATTTATTGTTCCTATTGGCAAAATGGGGACAATATGTTATAGCTAGAAGAGTTGTTTTCTTGAGTCAAAAAAATGTATATATATAAAGCACTTGATACTTACTAGGGGCTGAATAAATTGTTGAAATCACCACTGTAATAATAGTAAAAGAACTTAATATGAATACTTAATATGGATAGAAAACTAGGAGGCCCACTGGAAATACCATATATGCACCATAATATTAACCCAGTTAGCTTCATCTATCTCCAACCTTATTTGTTAATAACAAGTTTTAAATTATACAGGCCAGACTCCAAACTAATTGTCTTTCTCCTTCATTTCAGAAAAATTTTCCAAAGATGACTTAAAATAACACTTGAATTGGAGGGAGGAAGGAAAGCTAATATTATTAGAGCACAACATCTTAAATTTTAAAGAATTATATTTGAGAGGAATATATACAATAGACAGCTTGGAAGAGCATTCTGGGTAGAAATAAGATTCACCTCTCTTCCAATCTGAAACATAATAACAATGCCTTTCATTTGTATGGTTCTTCAGAGTTTAAACATGGCTTTTAAGCACATTTTTCTCTGAGGAAGCTCTTCCTTTGACAGCATCTTCCTCAGTGCTGCCTTCATGGAATCATTCCGTAAGCTATAAATGACTGGATTGAGTGTTGGAGGTATCACAGTATAGAATACGGAGAATACAAGGTCCACAGTCGATGAGGAATCAGAAGGCAGTCTGAGAAACTCAAAGCCTGCAGCTGAAAGAAAGAAGGTGGCTACAAATAGGTGTGGTAGGCAGGTGGAGAAGACCTTGGTCCGGCCCTCAGCTGATGGGATTCTCAGCACTGTAGAGAAGATGCGAATGTAGGAGAGCACAATGGAGATCAAACAGATAAATGCTGCAGACGTTGTGAATGCAGCCAGTGCAATCTCATTAATGAATTCATAAGAACAGGCTAGTTTCAGCATCTGAGGAACATCACAGAAGAATTGGTGAATGACTCTCTTCCCACAGAGAGGTATGGAGAAGTTAATGGCAGCATGCATGAGCCCAGAGAGGCCCCCAGCAATCCACACAGCTATCACTGCATGCCTACAGGCACGGGGATCCATAATAGTCTCATAATGAAGTGGTTGACAGATTGCTGCGTACCTGTCATAAGACATCACTGTGAGAATGGCCACTTCTGATGAGGCCAGAGCTATGAAGAAGAAAACCTGAAGAATGCACTGAACAAGAGAAATGTAACCGTTGCCCATAAGTGAATTTGCAATGGACTGGGGGACTGTGACAGAGATGAAGCAGAGGTCCAGAAGAGAGAGGTGCTTTAAAAAGTAATACATGGGGGAATGGAGACGACGGTCCACGGTAATGATGGTGATAATGAGGAGGTTGCCTGTCAAGGCCAGCAGGTATGTCACCAGAAATACCAATGCATGTAAAATCTGAAGCTTACGCTCATCAGAAAACCCCATAAGAAGGAATCCACTCATTGAAGTCAAATTGACCATAGTCTCTCTGAAGATACCAAGTGTGACTCTGTTTAGGAAGCCAAAGACAGTAGGAAGAAAATGCATGACATCTAATATATTTGTGTGTCAAGTAACTCAATTCCTCAGCAAGGAGGTACTGAAATGAGATGAATTTATTTTCATTGCGATTAGTTAATATTCAATTCAAAAACGTTTTAGCAATTATTCAGAAATAGAATCCCTGAATGTGATCAACAAGTCATAAACATTTTCTGGAGCAGAGTTTGCATTGTCAAAGAGGGAGAAATTGATGGAAATGATAAAGTCTTTACCTTCAATAAAGTCAATGAAAATGATTCTAGCATACCAATCTCATTACATCTTCTATATGATGCCTTAGTATTACAACGATGCACTATATAGCTTCTTTTGCTAACCAGCTAACATGAAGTTATTGATACCACCTTGCAAATGGATCTAGAAACAGCTCAGAGGCAGATCTAGAAACAGCTCAGAAGCTAATCTAGAAGAGAGGTTAGCTCAAAGAACAGTCATATTTTTTCCTTTGAAAAGCTCTTAACACTTTAAAAAGATTACATTTGATTGTAATAAACTTTTCATAGAAATTTTGAAAAATGAAATGTCTCAAAATTGTAAAATGCAGATGCCACTGATATCAGGCATTGAATCCTGAGCTTTGGAGATCTTGCAACTAAGTGACAAAGGTTCACCGTCAAAGAACGTTTAATTCTCAAAATTCTTATGACAACTTGGGGTTGGACATTTTCAATCAAATCCATTTGAAGAAATAAAGAGATTTTCTAAAATCTATGTGATAGGCAGAATGCTAGGTAGTAGAGTATATATCTTTCTAGTGCTGTGTCTCATTGTGACTTCCTGAATGAAAAAATATATATATATATTTCTTTCTAGGACTTGAAATATATTAGATAGTGGGAGCCCATTTCTTAAAATAACCAACCAAACAAAAAAAAATCTATACCAGATGTAACAATTGTTAGGAGGATTAAATGATGTAACTTTTCCTATTTCATTTTAAATGTGCTATTATTATAGAATCAACACCATCATAGAATTATTTTGTGTATCAGAATCACTCTGCTAACTAATTTTTGCCTCTTTTTTTTCTTTTTAAATCTGTGCATTTGTTGAAAGGTCAATCAGTATCATTTTCACTGAGTTTCTTCTGCACAAAGACTATTCCTTCATCATTTCTGTCCATTTCTTCACCCTTGACCAAAGGCATCTAACATATAGGTTCTAAGTAAATACTTATTTAACGGGATATCTACATAATTGATTTCAGTTCTATATAGACAAAAACTTAATGGCTAAGTTACATGAGTTAATGCATCTGATTTTGAAGTAACTGCATCTGATATTGTAGTTTGTTTCATTTATTAATCCCTAAGCTGTAGGAAAAGGTTAAAAATCACTTAAACCAAGATCTTTTTGATTTTGCTGTAATTTATTTTGAGAACTGACTGAAACTAATTTTTAGGAAATTTTTTTTTTCCACAAGGAACAGTCTCAGGGCTGGAAGGGCCCTTAATCCCTCACTGATGGTCACATCCCCTGCTTCATGGCAGTAGGAATCAGAGGAAAACAGGGGTTACTTTCTTCAAAGTTTCTCTAGCTTTCTTGCTCCTACAGTTTTCCTGGTCCTCCATAAGATATAGCTTAATCCCCAGTGCTGCCAATCTTAATGCCTGGCTTAACTTGTTCCAAATATTGGATGGTAGTTTTGGAATTTAAAATAAAATGTGAATAGATGAAAGCAATTCACTTATATTTTAAAACTTACTGTCTCTGGCTTGAAAATCAAAAGCATCGTGTTACTTACCACTTCTAATACACATTGTTAATGTAATCTAAGAAAAACCTCTATCATTTAGCCTCCCCATTAAGGTTTCTCCATAGAGGGAAGGAGGAGAAAAATCGTAAGAAAAAACTTGAATGCACACACCATATTCTCCTCTCAACAACTCCCACCAACCTATTTTCATTTTTATTTTCTTTGAAGACATAGATAATAATTTTTATATCTGATTAATAAATGGAAATTTTCATCATTTTAATTTCACTAGTTCCAAATTGTATTGATTAATTCATCACTTATCAAATAAGAAGGAAGGGAATCATATACGTGTGGAGATACTCTTAGGATAAAGGATGATACTGCAAGAACATATAAAACCTGTGTTCAATCCTTCCAAGTCATACCTGCATTAAATACTTTATTTATAATAAAACTAAACATTTTTTGGTGGAGAGTATAATGATTCTTTCAATGTCATTTGTTTCCCCCAAGCATTTTTTTCTGTCTTCACTAACCACTTGTATGCAAATTTTATCCTACAAAACATTTCTAAACTTTTCCGTTTTTTACCTCTCAAATGTTGAAACCCTCAATTTTTTTGAAAGTAGTTCTCTTTTAAGTTCAGTGGTACATGTGCAAATATGTTATGTAGGTAAACTCTAATTCATTCCAGTAGCTGCTCTAAAGAGTTAGCATCCTGTGTCTCTTCTTCACTATTTTCCTCTATTTCCTGGGAGGTAGCATTGCCAATAACTTCAATGAGAAAACATAGGTAATTATATGTTAAGCCCCTCAGTTTCCTACCTGTATATAAACGAAATGATCTCTAACATGATTTAATTCCACCCACTCTAGGGTTTCAAAGGCAGAGAAAGAGCTCTTTTTTCCTTTCCAAGTCAGTGACCAACCCTATACTCAACCTTGCTCTATCGCAAAGGGCATCTTTGCCACAGTATGCACTTGCTCTCTCTCTCTCTTTCATAATAGTGCACATTTTATGTGTGTGTGTGTGTCTGTATATGTGTGTGTATAAAATCAACACAAACTCCATGTCTAAAAATTCTAATAATGTTGATTTACTGAGATTACTCGTAATGAACCAGATTGTTTCACTATGCTCTGTTGATAGATGATAGATTAGAGATAGATAGATGATGATAGATAGATGATAGATAGATAGATAGATAGATAGATAGATAGATAGATAGAGATAATCTTAAGACTCATCCATTTTAAAGAAAAAGAAAAGTCTTCACTCCACACTTAGGACTTACTTATAATGTCCCTTCTCTTTACAGCCATGCTTTATGAGCAGAATAGGGTATCATTCTGTGCCCTGGCACATTTGGTTCAATTCTTGAACCATGTTAATCATTCTTGCTTCATGAGTCCTCACAAACAGCTCCAGCAAATCCACAAATAACTATCACAACGGTAAATTCAATGCACTTTCTATTTTGTTTTTATTTTAAATTTTGTTTCTCAAATATATGACACTATTATACAGTTCTTTCTTCTAAAACAGCTGACTTCCATTGGCTCTATGACACTTAGTTCTGGTTTTCTATTTCCTCTCTGAATATTTTTTCTTAGTCTCGTTATCTGGGTCTTCTTTTAACATTTATTGAAATTTGATGGTTTCCAAAAATTTGTCCTGACACTTTCTTTCTGTACTTTTGTTTACTCAAAAATATTCCTGTGCCTTTTAAAGAAGACAGATTAACTATTTTCCTACACAATAGAAAATAATAGTCTGCTGTTTCGAGCACTACCATAGGTCTTCTGGGTTGCAGGTCCCCTGGGTTGCAGGTCCTCATATCCTGCTTCACGGTTGGCACATCACTGCCCCTGAATGGGTCTTTCCCATAAGGACTCATCTCTTCTCCCAGACATCTCCCTGTCACTGTGACCTATTTCAAAGAATGGCACAACTTTGCTTTAATCTGTATATCCAATCAAGCACAACTTTGCTTTAATCTGTATATCCAATCAAACACCAAAATTTTATTTGCTTACTATCTGTTGTAGTTATTACATCTTGCTGTCACACGTACAGATTAGTTCAAACCTTCATTATCTCTGGCAATATTTTATTCTTCAGTTTTATGTATTTCTAATCCAACTTCAATGCTGTTGCCAGGACAAATGGTGATGCAGATCACATCTTGTAACATTAATTTAGCTTTTAGCTCTTTATTGACTTGATTACGCAATGATGCCCAAAAAGCTTAGGATGGCAAACAATATCTTTACAATGCTTCCTGACTGCCATTCCAGTATTATCTATCATTGTGACTTCTCTAACCCCATGCCAATCTCCATGTCTAATAATGGCGACTGACTTAATTACTCTTAATAAATCAATCAGGTTGTATCACCATGCTGTGTTTCTTTTCTTAAATCACACTATCCCTCCTGTCTGGAAGTCCTCCCATTAGAATTGCCCCTCATGGCTGAGCACGGTTGCTCACACCTGTAATCCCAGCACTTTGGGAGGCTGAGGTGGGCAGATCACCTGAGGTCAGGAGTTCAAAACCAGCCTGGCCAAAATGGCGAAACCCCATCTCTACTAAAAATACAAAAATTAGCCGGGCACGGTGGTGGGCACCTGTAATCCCAGCTACTAGGGAGGCTGAGGCAGGAGAATTGTTTGAACCCAGGAGGCGGAAGTTACAGTGAGCCAAGGTCGCGCCACTGCACTCCAGCCTGGGTGACAGAGCGAGACTCGTCTCAAAAAAAAAAAAAAAAAAGAAAAAAAAAAGAAAAAAAAAGAAAAAAAATCTCCCCTCATTTGTTTGGCAAATACTTAACTATCTTTTAACACAGCTACATTGTCTCTTTCCATTTATAATTCACCTGAGTTTAACTGTCGACCCAAGAAGAATTGTCACTCTTTGGAGCCCAGATTGCATTCATTTAAGATTCCTTATAATTTTTACTAACTTTTTTATGCTTTATATACTTTTTTATAATTTATACTACCTTATTTGCATAGATATCGCAGCTTATTTAAACTGTTCTTAGTTAAGGAGTGAGAAATTATGTATCTTATTTAGAGTTATAACTTTGAAGACTCGCATAGTCGCTGGCACTAAGCAGGTGCTACATAAATGTTGGATAAATTCCATAAAATTTGAAGAAGTTTTACTCACCAGAGTGGATCTCTCGGTAGAAACAAATCTCAATTGATCCTGAGACTGAGCATCTTTGTTCTAGAATCAAGCTGGTGTTTCAGTCAGTGAAATTTCCATGTAAGGAAAGGACTGAAACGCTTTTATATAGGACCAAACAGGATGTAACTGCCCAGGGACATTTAAATTTCCTATTAACTAAGGGGTATTTGAAATGAAGCCAGTGCTGTCCAGGCACTGGGGACAAAAATCCTGTGCAGGAAAGTTGGTGTTTCAGATAAAAACTATGAGTTCAAAGCAGGGGATTTCATGGACCTCTCCCTCAGGGAATTGCCTCAGTGGGAAGTAGTTAATTATTATCTTGGTTTAGCTAACTCTTGTAGTCGATGCATTTCAGGTTAAAAAAATGAATATTATACATAACTCGTTTTCTGTAACACAGATTCACAGGTTTTTCTAGTAAAAAGGATTTTTTTCATTAATTAACAGTTTCATTTTAACTGGTCACCAATAAAATCACGCATGATTGCACTGGCCTTATGTAAAAAAAAAAAGGAATACTTAGTAATTATTTACATAAACCCATACATAATAGTAGAATCAAAGAATCTCAGAATAAAACCATGACTTAGAGAGCTAAACTTTCTTCAAACATGGTGTCTTTTCTAAAATTACTCTGAAACTGATAATCCAGCCCTCATTTTAACAATCCCCCAGATGAATAATTTTTACTCAAAAGTGAATGAATTCCATTCTTAAATATGTGTGATTATGGAAAAGGCATTTTTTTAAATTATACTTTAAATTTTAGGATACATGTGCACAACGTGCAGGTTTGTTACATATGTATACATGTGCCATGTTGGTGTGCTGCACCCATTAACTAGTCATTTAGCATTAGGTATATCTCCTAATGCTATCCCTCCCCACTCCCCCCACCCCACAACAGGCCCCAGAGTGTGATGTTCCCCTTCCTGTGTCCATGTGATCTCATTGTTCAATTCCCACCTATGAGTGAGAACATGCGATGTTTGGGTTTTTGTCCTTTGTGATAGTTTGCTGAGAATGATGGTTTCCAGCTTCATCCATGTCCCTACAAAGGACATGAACTCATCATTTTTTATGGCTGCATAGTATTCCATGGTGTATATGTGCCACATTTTCTTAATCCAGTCTATCATTGTTGGACATTTGGGTTGGTTCCAAGTCTTTGCTATTGTGAATAGCGCCACAATAAACATATGTGTGCATGTGTCTTTCTAGCAGCATGATTTATAATCCTTTGGGTATATACCCAGTAATGGGATGGCTGGGTCAAATGGTATTTCTAGTTCTAGATCCCTGAGGAGTTGCCACACTGACTTCCACAATGGTTGAACTAGTTTACAGTCCCACCAACAGTGTAAAAGTGTTCCTGTTTCTCCATATCCTCTCCAGCACCTGTTATTTCCTGACTTTTTAATGATTGCCATTCTAACTGGTGTGAGATGGTATCTCATTGTGGTTTTGATTTGCATTTCTCTGATGGCCAGTGATGATGAGCATTTTTTCATGTGTTTTTTGGCTCCATAAATGTCTTCTTTTGAGAAGTGTCTGTTCATATCCTTTGCCCACTTTTTGATGGGGTTGTTTTTTTCTTGTAAATTTGTTTGAGTTCATTGTAGATTCTGGATATTAGCCCTTTGTCAGATGAGTAGGTTGCAAAAATTTTCTCCCATTTTGTAGGTTGCCTGTTCACTCTGATGGTGGTTTCTTTTGCTGTGCAGAAGCTCTTTAGTTTAATTAGATTCCATTTATCAATTTTGGCTTTTGTTGCCATTGCTTTTGGTGTTTTAGACATGAAGTCCTTGCCCATGCCTATGTCCTGAATGGTATTGCCTAGGTTTTGTTCTAGGGTTTTTCTGGTTTTAGGTCTAACATTGAAGTCTTTAATCCATCTTGAATTAATTTTTGTATAAGGTGTAAGGAGGGGATCCAGTTTCAGCTTTCTACATATGGCTAGCCAGTTTTCCCAGCACCATTTATTAAATAGAGAATCCTTTCCCCATTGCTTGTTTTTGTCAGGTTTGTCAAAGATCAGATACTGGTAGATATGTGGCATTATTTCTGAGGCCTCTGTTCTGTTCCATTGGTCTATATCTGTTTTGGTACCAGTACCATGCTATTTTGGTTACTGTAGCCTTGTAGTATAGTTTGAAGTCAGGTAGTGTGATGCCTCCAGCTTTGTTCTTTTGGCTTAGGATTGACTTGGCAATGCAGGCTCTTTTTTGGTTCCATATGAACTTTAAAGTAGTTTTTTCCAACTCTGTGAAGAAAGTCATTGGTAGCTTGATGGGGATGGCATTGAATCTATAAATTACCTTGGGCAGTATGGCCATTTTCACGATATTGATTCTTCCTACCCATGAGCATGGAATGTTCTTCCATTTGTTTGTATCCTCTTTTATTTCATTGAGCAGTGGTTTGTAGTTCTCCTTGAAGAGGTCCTTCACATCCCTTGTAAGTTGGATTCCTAGGTTTTTATTCTCTTTGAAGCAATTGTGAATGGGAGTTCACTCATGATTTGGCTCTCTGTCTGTTATCGGTGTATAAGAATGCTTGTGATTTTTGCACATTGATTTTTTATCCTCAGACTTTGCTGAAGTTGCCTATCAGCTTAAGGAGATTTTGGGCTGACACGATGGGGTTTTCTAGATATACAATCATATCATCTGCAAAGAGGGACAATTTGACTTCCTCTTTTCCTAATTGAATGCCTTGGAAAAGGCATTTTTGAAATCATGATAAGGACACTTAACATAAAATCTACCTTCTTAGCATTGAAAGAAAATTTTTTAAAACTTTTAATATCAAAAATTTAATATATTGTATATTCTACTTGGCAAATGTTTAAAAATAGCTCTAAGTTCCCGTGTGTGTGTGTATATATATATATATAATGTATATGATTTATATTATGTGTATTATATATATGAATTATATATATAAATATAAGAAACTGAATTGTAAATGTTGCAGACCAATAAACTTTATTTTGATCTCCAGTGACAAATATAGTACCACATTAAGTACCACAATATGGTGTCTCAGTAAGGATCACACGTTTTCATAAGGCTGTTTATGAACAATAAGAGACAATTAATGAATGATTAAAAAATACTCTGAGGTTTTTTTCATTTTGAGGAAAGAATTTTCTATTTTAACATTGACTTTGATTGTGATCTGATCAATGTTTTTGTAAAAGCTTTGGATACAGATGGTAGGTGGATTCAATATTATACATGGTGGTTAGTAGACAAATAATCCAAAAATTTCAACATACAACAATAATGGATAATTTAGAGAAAACTGTGGGATAGTTCAAATAGGATAAACTTTAATAAAATACTTTCCAAGATAAAGGCACATTAAAATTTGAGAGATGTGTGTTTTTCTTTTTTTTAAGATTGATTAAATCTAATCAATACATGCTAAGAGCATCCAATGACAAAGAAAACAGTTACAAAAAGACCCTATAGTAATATTTCAATTGATGAGTAATATTTTCACTTTACTCTCTTCATCAGACCGAAACTGAATGAATCATTTCAGAATTAAATACATTAAGAAAATTGTAGACAAATGGATGTGTTAGCAAACAAAAGCAATTGTCATTCATTCCAATTACTAGAAAGCTCAGGGTGACCTATATTTTCAAATATTAAAAATGTTTGTCTTTTAAAAATAAATTTAAATTTATCTATGTTCCTAGAATCAATCTAGTAATAATGGTTATTAGTTATATTCAGATAGTTGTTTTCTCAGCATAAACAATAATTTTCAAAACCTGTTCCTGATGATACAGTAACTACAGACTGATATTAAGAAATATTTATTTATTTATTTTTTAAAGGAAGGGTTTGAATCCCTTACAAAAGTTTTGTGGAGACCTTTTTGAATTCAGTGAAAAAATCTAATTTTGATATTGTAAAATTCTTTTTCTTTTTTTTTCATCTACACTTTCAATTTCCAACTCCTGTGTCTATGCCTTTAATATTCTGACTCATAATTCATGCCATGAGGATGTTTTTCCACAACTCCTCTAGGATAAAAGAAAGCCTACATTAATTTATGTTAGTAATAATAACATTGGACAGTCTGAAACTGCTTGTGGCTTATATAAAAGGGGTTTTCCACTAGAAGTTTAACTCAGGCAGGGCGAGGTGGCTCATGCCTGCAATCCCAACACTTTGGGAGGCCAAGGCAGGCAGATCACTAGAGCACATGAGTTCAAGACCAGCCTGGGCAACACGGTGAGACCCTGTCTCTACAAAAAATACAAAAATTAATTTATCTATTATTTTCTATTTTATTACTTTCAATTATTAAATATTTTCTTTATTATTTTCTGGCTTCTACTGACATGGATTTATTTTTCTTTTTTTCCCTAGCTTTTTAAAATTTTCTATCCAGACCACAAAAAATTTTCTCCATATCAGCAATAAGACTGTTTTGCTATCTTATTTATGTGTTTACTGGAGTAGCGCATTTTAATTTTTTTCAATAACTTTTCTTTACATTCACAACTTGGCTAACTGGTGCAAAAGCCCTAGCTTCTGGCCTGTCTTGGCTTTTGATAGGCCTTCTTCACTAAGCTTAATCATTTCTAGCTTTTGATTTAAATAAGAGACATGTGACTCTTCCTTTCACTTGAATACTTAAAGGCCATTGTAGGATTATTAATTGGTCTCATTTCAATATTGTTGTGTCTTAGAAAATAGAGAGGCCTGAAGAGAGGGAGAGATGGTGGAACAGCCAGTGGGTGGAGCAATCAAAACATACATCATTTATCAATTAAGTTCACTGACTTACATGGGCAGTTTGTGGTTCCCTAAAACAATTACAATAGTAACATCAAAGATCACTGATCACACGTCACCATAACTTTCACCCGCGTCCGTGTGAAGAGATCACCAAACAGGCTTTGTGTGAGCAATAAAGCTTTTTAATCACCTGGGTGCAGGCGGGCTGAGTCCGAAAAGAGAGTCAGCTAAGGGAGATAGGGGTGGGGCCATATTATAAGATTTGGGTAGGTAAAGGAAAATTAGTCAAAGGGGGGTTGTTCTCTAGCGGGCAGGAGTGGGGGTCACAAGGTGCTCAGTGGGGGAGGTTTTTTGAGCCAGGATGAGCCAGGAAAAGGAATGGATGAGCCAGGAAAAGGAATTTCACAAGGTAATGTCATCAGTTAAGGCAAGGACCGGCCATTTTCACTTCTTTTGTGGTGGAATGTCATCAGTTAAGGCAGGAACAGGCCATTTTCACTTATTTTGTGATTCTTCAGTTACTTCAGGCCATCTGGGCATATACATGCAGGTCACAGGGGATGCGATGGCTTAGCTTGGGCTCAGAGGCCTGACAATAACGATACAATAATAACGAAAAAGTTTGAAATATTGTGAGAATTACCAAAACGTCACATAGAGATATGAAGGGAGCACATGCCGTTGGAAAAATGATACTGATAGATTTGCTCATTGCAAGGTTGCCACAAACCTTCAGGTGCAATAAAGTGAAGCACAATAAAATGAGACAGGCCTATATTTGGTCGAACATCATTCTGGGTGTGTTTGGAGAGGTGGCTCCTCTCTGCAGGCAGGTCCCCATTGACTTCCCAGCTCTCAGCAGAGAGGATAGCTACTCTCTGCAGCTGGTCATCTCGTCATCTCTCAGTTGTCCTCTACCATGCTATTGCTGATCCTGGGGCTTTTATGGACCTCAGAGGGGAGGAAGTGCATATGGAGTGGTCCATCCGTGGCCATGGGTGGGCAGAAAAAGGCACCACAAGACCCCACTCCAGTCCACCGGTGTGGCAGCCTGACCCCCAGCCTTCAGGCTCTTCCTGGCCTGAGGATGGGGCCTTACAGGGACCCACTCCCTTCCACCTAGGAGCCCGTCTGCCTCCTGACGCCTTTCATGGTGCCAAGGGGCACCTGCAGGCCAACGCTTTGCCCGCATCCACTCTTGTCTGGCCCAACATCCAGAGGGGGCTGAGGTGGCAGGGCTCGATCATGCATATACCTGGCAGGGTTGTGACAGTGCCTGGGCTCAGCTCCACCTACTCCTAGATTGGATCAGTTGCAGAGAGTGGGAAGAGACCAGGCAGTAGGAGCAGGCACCTCTGAGCCTGCAATGGCAAAGGGGGCCTTCCCTGGCTCTCAAGAGCACACGGAGGCCCACATCTACTGTCTCCATTTGGACAGCTGCAGCTGTGCCTGGGGGTGTGGGGCTCCTGCCTGCTCCCAGCCCTCAAGAGCACATGGAGGCCCAAGTCTACAACCCTGACGTGGGTGGCTGCAGCCGCGCCCAGGGTGGGCAGAGCTCCTGCCTGCTCCCAGCACACAGGAGCCCCGGGTATACTGCACCGACTTTGGCGGCTGCAGCTGTGCCTAGTCGGGCAGGGGCTTTCAGGGAGGCCCTGGGTAGAGCAGAACGCAGGCCCTGGGTCTGGCTGTCGGGAGTGGCAGGCTCCGAGGTCACCCTAACGCCTCGGGTGACCTGTATAGAGCAGACCCCAGGGGACTGGCCCTGGGAGGCCTGCACAGAGCCTCCTCCCAAGGCCCAGGAACTCCAGCATGCCAACTGCAGATCATGGGACTTCTCAATGTTTAGTGTATTATGAATTACATTCAGTGCTTTTAGGTATTATGTATATTTAAACGTTGTGGTTTTCATCTCTAGAAGTTTGATTTTTTAAAGTATCTTCCTCGTCTCTAAATTTTTGAACATATGGTAAACAGTATAATTGTTTTAATGCCATAACTTGAATCATTCTAACATATGTGTCAGTTCTGAGTCAGGTTTGATTTATTGATTTTTCTCCTTACATCATATTTTCCTGCTTTTTTTCATGCTTAGTAAATTTTCATTGGAAAATTTTCTTTTACTGGGTATATCTGTAATCCTATAAATACCCTTGAGTTTATTCTGGAGTGTTACTAAGTTACTTGGATACAGTTTGATACTTTAGTCACTTGTTTTGAAGATTTGTTAGGTAAAACCAGAACAGTGTTTAGTTTAGAGCTAATTATTGAAATTCTTGAAGCAAGACACTTTTGATTGCCAAACTCAATGCCTCAGGAATTCTTAGGTTTTCATTCTGGCACATAAATAGCTTGAGAACCCACAAAATTCCCAGCCTTTGCATAAGCATTGGGCACTATTTACCTTAATCCATTAAGTGGTTCTTTCCTCATTCTTGGATAGCTTCCTCACACACATGCAAATCAGCGCTCAGCTAAACTCAAGCAGGGCCCTCTCTCTGTGTATTAGTCCATTTTCATACTGCTATAAGGAAATACCCAAGACTGGGTAATTTGTAAAGAAAAGAGGTTTAATTGACTCACAGTTCCACATGGCTGGGGAGGCCTCAAGAAACTTACAATCATGGTGGAAGGTGAAGAGGAAGCACTGACCTTCTTCACATGGTGGCAGGAGAGAGAAGTGCAAGCAGGGGAAATGCCAGAGGCTTGTAAAACCATCAGATCTCATGAAAACTAACTCACTGTCACGAGACCAGAATAGGAGAAACCACCCCCACGATCCAGTCACCTCCCTCCCTCAACATATGGGGATTACAATCGAGATGAGATTTGGATGGGGACACAGAGCCAAATCACATCATTCTGCAAGTCGTGAAAGATTTTTCTATGTTTAGCATTATCTTTTCTGACACTTTTTATGACAAATTCTGCCTTAGTCTGGATGCTCAGTTCTGCCTTTTTTATTTCTCAGTTTTTTTCAAAAGTTGTATTCCTTGATGTAAAGGTAAATGTCTAATTTTATTTCAGTGACTTGTACATAGTTGCCATCAATAAATATTTACCAAATAAAGGAATGCATTTTCATCATAAGATAAACCTCATCATAGCAACAGCTCATTTAAATGTTGCTGTTTATGTTGTTTTATAAGATATAACAAATAAATATTTTTATTTAATAATTTACTAATATTATTTTTAAATCATGTTGGGTAGTTAATCCAAACCAACAATATATAACTGTGATGAGAGTCAGAAAATTTCTATTATTTCTAAAAGTGTTGGGAATTATCCACTTCTCCTAGAATAAATATGATAGTAGACTTTGTTCTGATATAAATATTTTTACCTTATTGAATATGTTTTCCTACTGCTCCTATAGCACAGGGCCTATTTCTATTTAATGGCTTGCCAATTATTTGCATAATTGATGTAATATTTAGTAACTTTTAATATTTAATAACTTTACTAATGTTTTGGTAATACTTTCAGGAATACTTAAAATATTTCCTTATTAAACTTGTTCAACATTGCCTTATTTTGATTTGCTTGCTTGATAGTACAGGTACTATAATTTATTTAATGATATATTTAAATATATAGCCTTCCAAAATCTCAGGCAGCATACATGCAGAAATATTATACCTTTATAAAGTCAAAAATTTAAAACTGTTTAAAGATAAAATTTTTCTCTGGCATATCTGTAATAATGAAAGTGAATCAAAATATATTTCTAGGGCTTGGGGGACATATCTTGAGCAGCCACCCACATCAGCAAAACATTTCTCCAAGCACCCATATTTTAATTTAAAAATACATGTGATTTTCTCAACATAATATATCCATGTTTATTCCAATGCAACACAGTAGTTTCAATGTTCAATTATTTTGAGTTCTATTTATACTTCTAAGTTAAACAAACAAACTCAAGAATATGTTAACATTTTTATTAAATGACCACAAAAACCCCCAACATTCAACCTCTGAGAAATATACTGCTTTAATAGAATAAATAAATACAATAAGCGTTTTTTTCATAATACATATTAGGATGTATTTTATTTCATGCCAATAGCAGACTCCATGTATAAATGAACCATGGGTTGGGAAAAATACTGTGATCAAAAAAATGCATAATGTCTAGGATCCTTTTCCAGATTATACTAGAATTAAGGAAATGAACTCACTTTCTCTTATATAGCCACAGGCCTTCAAAAGTGTTCCCAAAAACCTTTTATCTGTGTTCCAGCTTCTCATCTGTCTCACCACCGGGAGCCACAGAAAGTGGACATGCTCACAGTACAGGAAATAGAGCTTTGCACTGTTCTTTTAATGATGTGGATTTTTTGGTGAACTCACTCTATTTTGTCTTGGTTTCTTCGGCTCATAGGTTTGTGAGGCAGTTTATAGCAAAAGGCTATAAAAGTCTTTTTTTTCTAAATAAAGATAATAGATCAACCAAAGTTTTGAATTCCACATGGTATTCTCAAACCCCCACACTGAAATAGGACTAAATTACCCAGTCAAGTGGTGAAGAAAGCTGCCTTGTCAAAACATGTAAATTCCCACTGAGTTTGTGTCCCTAAATTAGAATTTTTTCCACCTCAGATTTTTCCCCTGCTGATCACTATCCAAAGCATCTCACTGTTCATCTTTCCCCCCAGAGTAAGTTCTATTTGCATTGACCTAGGCCTCATTGTTGTGTACCACAAGAGCATAAGATTGACTAAGGCAAAACATTTATGGCAAAAAAAATTTGTATTTAAAAGAATTCATGGCAAAAAAAATATATTTAAAATCATCACCTCTAAATTTGTTCATTAATTTCTCTTTCCATAATTCCATCTTAATGTTTTTGAACTAATTGTCTCTTGATTTTACTTGCCTGTGAGACCTTACAAAAGCATTTGAGGGTGATATAATTGGACATCGAATGTTAGAAGATGGCTAAATGGTGGCAATACATGTTGATCAAAATTACCTCACGATAGTACTGGCATGTTTTTCTAAGAGTTGGGATCATTTCTAATTTAATTGGGATTCATTTATAAACAATTTATGCTAAATATATTTCCTAAACTTTCTCAGTATCTTTTTCTCTAGCTATTATACCATTTTCCCTTACTTTAACTAGATTAGCTAGTCATTAGGAATAGGGAGAAAAAAGACTGACTTGATGGAATCCAATATTGTAAAGCAGATAGTCTCGTAAGTGAAAAAATGCTATGTAGATTTTACCAAGAGTTAATTGTTTTTTTCTTAGTCTTGTTCCACTTGTAAACTTTGTGTCACTTGATACTGTTCCCTCATCAATTCCATGTCCAACATCTTTTTGAAAGTCAAACACATCTATCCTCGCTTCTTAGGACTTCTTTTCAGATATCATCTTGTCTTAATCCAAAACTCTTTAGTCAGTGACCTTCTCAGGGCAGCTTTCACATCCTTGTTTCTCAATGTGTAGATGAATGGGTTGAGGGTGGGTGTGACAATGCCATAAAAGAGAGCCATGATCTTCCCCCGGTCATGAGAATAGCTAGAGGGAGGCTGGACATACATACTGATGGCTGTGAAGTAGAAGAGGGAGACCACCAGCAAATGTGAGGCACAGGTATTGAAAGCCTTCCAGCGACTTTCAGCAGAGCAGATTCTCATTACTGCCTGAGCAATGAACACATAAGTGCCCAGGATGAGGGTGAGTGGCATCAGGAGAAGCAAAGCGCCTAGTACATTGAGCTCCATTTCATTCACACGAATATCAATACAGGCTAGTTTCAAAAGGGCTGGAACTTCACAGAAGAAATGGTCCAACACCCTCTGTCCACATCTTGGGGCCACCACTGTGAGAGTGGACTGGACAAGGGAGTTAGCAAAGCCACTGATCCAAGTGCCAGCAGCCATGTGGATACAGCGTCTATGGTTCATGATGACTGGGTAGTGAAGGGGCTTGCAAATGGCAGCGTAACGGTCAAAGGCCATGATGGCTAGAAGTATGCATTCAGTAGAACCCAGGGCCAAAAATATATAGAGTTGGGCAACACAACCCCCATAGCTAATGGTCTTTTCTGGTCCCCGGAGGTTGACCAGCATCTGTGGGACAGTGCTGGTGGTATAGCAGAGGTCCAGAAAGGATAGATTAGAGACAAAAAAGTACATGGGACTGTCAAGCTGGGGATCCAGATGGGAAACTAGGATAATGGAGATATTTCCAAATAGGGAAAAGATGTAGGCCACCAGAAAGATTACAGAGGGGTGTCTCTAGCCAGGGACGGTCAGAAAATCCCAATAGGATAAAATCATCTAGCGAGCTTTGATTGTTGATCCACATGTTAGCACTGGGAGGTGAAATTCCAGCTGAGACCTCTAAATACCCACAGTTAGGGATAGACATCAACAGTAGGAGGAAGCCACTGAGAATTAGAGATCAGAGATGCCAAGATGAAATTTTCATTTTTGCTCTAATCGGCATCTGTATCTTCATTACAGTAAAATATCATTTGCATCTACATCCTGATTATGATGAAATGTGGAGACAACATCATCAATGTAATATTGAAAGATTACTGAGAAAAGAATAAATACCACACCAGCAACATAGTTGGGAATTTTGCTTATTTAATATATGTCTTCTGGTTAGCTATTCACTCCATTTGGGTTTTCATATCTTCTCTTCTAAAAAGTTTTAGTATACTACCATCAACTCTACATGCATGGATATGTAATGGTGGCAACAGAGTGTAGATTAAAATAGAAGGAAAAGGCAGAACTTCCCAAAAACAGGTCAAACGAAGGCCGGCATGAAGACTACAGGAGGATGTGCAGCCAGGGAGAACGAAGACATCTTGGCATGTTCATCTGCTTGGTACAGATCCTGGTCAGAAAACACCATAAGAACTGGAGCACTTTATAAAGTCTGCATGATAAAAGGATGGAGTGCCATGACTCGTTTTACCCCTTCCAAGCTTTAATGCTAGTCCTACTCAGAACATTTAAAAATAGGGAGAAAAAAGCCAAAAAAACAAACAAAATTACACACACAAAAAAACAATCAGTCCTTAGAAATTTGTTTGCTGTGAAAATGCAACTTTAAAAATATCTGGATACATTTGATGAAATTTTAATCTCTGGAAGAAATCACCAGAAAGAGTTTTAAATATGTGAATCCTTGAAATTTGAGGATGTATATGAATTTGTAATCTCTCAGCATCATTCTCAGCACATATAAACTTAATCATTTTCCCTCTCTCTCCCTTCTTTATTCTCATATTTTCTAATTACTGATACTATTTTTTCCACCAAAATTGCCTCTATCCTGCTCTTTGCCCATCCAAATTACACAATTCCTTTATCATATAATTTCTAAAGAATAACTCCAATTGCAAATTTTTCCATTCCCTACAATCCCAAATTTCTTTTTTTGTTTGACTCTTATCTTTTAGTAAATTTGTCTTGTGTTTTTCTCTAGTTGTTTTATAAAAGACATTTATAAAAGACTAGGATTTCCTCCAAATCCCAGTCATTCCATTCATTAGCTGTGTGACTTTGGAGATGTCATTTAATCTTTGTGTGCTTCAATTTTCTCATCTTTCAAATAAGCATAATTATACCCATCTCATAGAACTAGTGTACAAATTAAGGAATAGAGTGTACATTGCAAACATAGCTCAGTTCTTGTCATATACTAATAATTCAATGACTATTAACAATTATTATATACTTACCTAATTATGAATCCCCAGATGTATTACAGTTGTTTTATTTTTATGCATTTATGCAGTTTATAATGATATTTGTAACAATAAACAAATATTTATTAGAGGATAGTAAACAAAATGTGACTGCTCTGAAATCAGCTCAGGATCCTCTATTTACTTTTCTGATCCTCTCAGTTGCCCTATGTCATATTCTTCTTGTGATCCTGACTTAGTAAGGTTCATGTACTTAGTTGGCC